>NC_000010.11:48930974-49082489 GCF_000001405.40 Homo sapiens | reverse complement strand
GTTTCACCATGTTGACAAGGCTGGTTTCGAACTCCCGACCTCAGGTGATTGGTCTGCCTCGGCCTCCCACAGTGTTAGGATTACAGGCATGAGCCACCATGCCTGACCATATGTGGTATTTTAAAAGTGAACTCCAGATTTGATTAATTGCAGATATTTTGTTAAACTCAAGCCTTTGTTGAAAGGTCTGGCTTCAACCTTTCAACCAGCATTATTTGGCCTAGTCTGAGTTTTAAAACTTTTGAGCCAACATTTTATAGAGAGATTTTTACATAAAAAGGTAAAGGATGAATTGGAAGATCTGGCACCACTGGGCGGGCATTCCAGCCTGAGAGCAGTGCCCTGGAACTGAGTGCGGCAGGGCTTTGCATTAGCTGACATGACAGGAAGGTGACTCTGCAGTCGTAGGAATTTGTGACCCTGGCTTCAATGGCTCAGAGTTTAACTGTTGTTTGCAGAGAACAGCCAGGGAGGGGGGTTTTCATGTTTTGAGTGGACACAGCAGGGTGGTTATCTTTATGCAACAAAAGGAATGCTTGTAACAGAAGGGAAAAAAATTCGGAACATAGGCATACTGGTTGCTGCTCAATCAAGGGGAACTCAGGTGGTCTTTCTGAGCTTTTCTTCTCCTGCAAGGCAGCACTTTTTACAGATCTGTAGCTTCAAGAACAAAACAGAGAGTGGCCATGACCGGTCTTGTGTGTGTGGGGAGCCACACGCAGGCAGGAGGTGCCCGCTGGCTGGTGTCCATAACTGGAGGCCTGTGTGTTTGGCGGCCAGCTGAGCCTTCCAGAGTCGCCAGATGTTTTCTGATTCTGTAGCCCTGGCTGCCTGTGGGGAGCCCCCTTTGAGCCATGTTGAGGAAGCTGTGAACTGAAACTGTAGCTTGGGCCTTTTGAAGCCCCTGACCTCCTGCCTGGGCAGAGTGTGCCCCAAATGTCTGCAGCATGCTGCTAGGGACACTTGGGGAGAGATGCCTACTGCGGTTCTTACCTGCAACCTTGTCCCTCCTGGGTTCCTGCTGTTCTGAAGCGAAGGAAAGAGCTCAGATGAAGAGGTGAGCTTGTGGATCAGCTGCTGTGCTCCATGGGCATGGAAGCTTTTGTAAGACAATTTTTCTCTCCACTCCATGAATAAGACTAAAGGCAAGTTTCTCTGCCTTTTGGTCTGGGGACCACATTTGCATAGTCCCTTCCAGGCAGGTGCTGTGTTCACCTGCCTGAGGTTCTGTCGGCCTGGCAGCCTGACTGTGTTGTTCACCATCTTCTCCTGCCAGCAAGGGCTCTGCCATCCTGTTCTGGAGTAGTTTGCTGACCAATGTGGAAAGGCAGGACTGGCCGTGGGTTTGCTGGGTTGTGGCCATCCTGTGCCCTGGGATCCTGCCACAAATCCTGGTCTGTGAACTTTGCTCTGTCCCTGAGTTCGTCATGAAGTGTCTTGTCCAGAATCCAAGAGTCCTGTTGCTGAGTTTCACACTGTTTAAATGGATGCTGCAGCCTCTCTCCTAATTCTGACCCCTCACAGAGTTCTCCACCCTGTTAATCTACAGAGCCCACACATCAGAGACACAGGCATTTACTAGAAAGGCAGTTTTGATTTTTAGCTATGTGAGAACTTTCTCAAGCTCCTCACATTCCATCAGCTTCTGGACCTCTCTAACCTGACTCTGCCCCCACCAGCCTACTGACAGGGCTTTCCTCCAAGACTTTCCCAGTAGCTTCCTAGGAGCAAAACAGAGTGGATGTTTTCCAGCAGTTGATGCTATTAAGGCATCCTTCTTACAGTGCTTTCTTCTGGGCTTCCAGAACTCTCGCCCCAGCCCTCCTCTGCATCCATGACTAGCTCTGATCCTTTGTAGGAGACTCCCTTCCACACACCTGCCCCTCTCTCCTTAAATGTTAGTGCAGATGCACCCTTCACCTGCTACCTTGCCCTAAGGCACTTTCTACTTATTTTATTTTCAGTCCAGACATCTAAATTGCCAAGAGCAGAAATCTATTCAAACTAGCTTAGGCAAAAATGCTGACTGCCTTAAGAACACAGGAAGATCTCATAGACTCCAGGGGCAGAGGTTCTGCTGGGCTTCCCTGGGGCCTAGGCCAGGGAGGGGAGAGTCAAAAGGAACCTGAATGTCTGATTCCATTTCATGCCCCCTTTCTTCTCATTAACCATAAGCCTGACCTGCTTCTCCAGGCTCTCCCTGGGAGCCAGCCACCTGCTACTCCCAGTAGGCTTGCTTTTTCAGCTTAAGCACTTAACTAACTGCTTCTCCACGCCACAAGGGCTTTACAAATGTTCTTTTCCTGTTGACTCAGCTATTCCACTTCTAGGAACTTAATCTTGAGAACATATTGTGAAAGTTGTACTAAGGTTTAAGTTCATGAATGCTCACCACAGAATTATTTATGATGGGGAACAGGTAGAAACACTTTGAGTAGCCAATAGTAAGAGATTGTTAAATCATTGCTGATATATTAATATGATAAACTTTTATCATATTTTTCAAAATGATTCTGAATCATTTTTGAAAAGAATTTATTGAGAAAATGAGAGAAATTGAAAAAAGATGTGAAAGTATATGATCTCAATTTAAAAATATATGCATATTCATCATAAAGTATACCAAATATTTATTAATAGTAGTTATCTCAGGGTGACAGGATGGCCGATGGCTTTTTTTTCTATACATTTTTGTATTTTTTGTTATTTTAAATACAACTCGGTGCAGAACTCTAGCCCTCTTGGAAGCTTCTCTCAGCCTCCCCAGGCTGGGCTGGGTGTCTCTGAGTGTTCCTGGTATTGGACACACGTTCTTATTGTTACACTTACTAAGTGGTCCTCTATTTCTTGAAGAGAAAGCCTTTGTGTGTGCATTTTTATCTTTCTTGGACTCAGGAAAGTACTGACCATGGCTGATAGTAAATGTCTGTTGGTTGTAGAAAGTTAAGTCAACAGAGAAACATTTTTGCTAAGTTCAAATAAATGCCTGTGGCATTTTTCTTCAAAGATGGTTAGAATAATGCTTTTGGCTTCCCTTTTCACTTTCTGAGCAGCTTGGCATTGTATTGATCAGACTAATGATAACGTTGATTATTAGAGTTTAAGAAATGTAAGTATATGTAGCTGGGCACTGAGTCTCATGCCTGTAATTTTAGCTACTCAGGAGGCTGAGGCGGAAAGGTCTCCTGAGCCCAGGAGTTCAAGGCTGCAGTGAGCTGTGATTTTATCACTGCACTCCAGCCTGGGTGACGGAGTGAGACCTTATCTCTAAAAGAGATGTATGTACATGAACATGGTTTAACTGTTCAACTTAGACAACTTTTTATTTTGAGATTATTGTAGATTAATATCCATTTCTGGCCAGGCACAGTGGCTCATGCCTGTAATCCCAGCACTTTGGGAGGTGGAGGTGGGGGGATCACCTGAAGTCAGGAGTTCAAGACCAACCTGGCCAACATGGTGAAACCCTGTCTCTACCAAAAATACAAAAATTAGCTGGGTGTGGCGGCGTGGACCTGTAGCCCCAGCTACTCAGGAGGCTGAGGTTGGAGAAATGCTTGAACCTGAGAGGAGAAGGTTGCAGTGAGCCAAGATTATGCCACTGCGCTCCAGCCTGGGCCACAGGGCAAGAAAGAAAAAATCAATTTCTAAAAAATCATACACAGAGATCCCTTGTACCAGTTTGTTTCCTTTACCTAATGTCTCCCAATGATAGCATTTTGCAAAACCATAAAACAATATCACAAACAGGATATTAACATCCATACAGTCAAGATACAGAATATTTCTGTCATTATAAGTGGCCCTTGTAGCCAAACCCATTTTCTTCTCACCACCACCCCCTTCTTAACTGCTGGCAACCACTCATCTGTTCTCTATTTCTATAATTTTGTCATATCAAGAATGTTACATTGATGAAGAATGTCATATCAAGAATGTAACCTTTTGGGATTTTTTTTTTTTTTTCACTCAGCGTACTTCTCTGGAGATTCATCCAGGTTGGTGTGTGTGTCGATAGTTTGTTCTTTTTATTTCTGAGGATGCTGTGGTGTGGATGTACCACACTTTGTTTAACTATTCACTTGCTGAAGGATATCCGGTCTGTTTCCAGTTTTTGGCTACCCAACATACATGTACAGTTTTCCATGTGAACTTAAGCTGTCATTTTTCTGGGACAAATGCAAGGAATGCAATTTCTGGGCTGAATGGTTGTTACAGGTGTCTCCTTTGAGAAACTGTAAAGCTCTATTCTAGAGTGGCTGAGCCTCTTTACATTCCCACCAGCCACGTCTGAGTGACCCAGTTTATCTGTATCCTTGCCAGCATTTGGGGATGTCACTATTTTTTATTTTAGCCACCCTGAAAGGCATGAGGGATATTTTACTGTAGTTGCATTTTGCATTTCTCTAACAGCGATAGAAGTCAAACATTTTCTCATGGGATTGTTTGCCACCTGTACATTCTCTTTAGTGAAATGTCTGTATTTTTTTTTTTTTCATTTCTCCAACAGGATTGTGTGGTTTTTGCTGTTGAGTTTTTAGAGTTCTTTAGAGTCTGGATAGTAGTCCTTTGTTGGATATGTGGTTTACAAATATTTTCTCCCAGTCTGTTTGACTTTTTATCCTCTTTATATGTTTGTTTACAGAACATCAGTTTTTAATTTTGGTAAAGTCAAGTATAGTATGTCAAGTTTTACTAATATAGACGGTGCCTCTTGTGTCAAGTCTAAGAACTCTGTCTATTCTTAGATCCCAAAGATTTTTCTTGTGGGTTTTTTCTGAAGTCTTCTAGCTTACATTTTACATTTAGGTTTGTGGTTCATTTTGAGTTAATTTTTGAATAAAAGGTGAGGTTTATTTTAGTTTTATTTTCTGCCAGTGGAAGTCCCATTGACCCAGCACCATTGATTGAAGAAACTGTCCTTCCGCCGTTGAATTACTTTTGCACTTTTGTCAAAAATCAACTGAGCATGCCTGTGTGGGTCTATTTCTGGGCTCTCTGTTCTGTTTCATTGATCTGTGTCTGTCCTTGCACCAATACCACACTGCCTTGTTGACTGTAGCACTGGGATTTCAAATATTCCAATTCTGATTGTTCTCTTGCCAGCGCACTTCTGCTGCGGCCCCCAGAAGGCTGACTCACGTGTCTGTCCTTGCCTTTCAGATCTCTATGTGTATGCTGTCCTCGTGTGCTGCGTGGGGATCCTCAGCATTCTGCTCTTCATGCTGGTCATCGTCTGGCAGTCTGTGTTTAACAAGCGGAAATCCAGAGGTAAGAAAACAGATAAGGTCATGTCTGGGATGGGAGCACACCCCGACCACAGACGGGCGGAAGATGCTAGACAAAGTACCACCTTGGTGGAAAAGTGCATTGTGAGTCAGGGATTATTTACCTGTGACTGTGGGCAAAGTGAGCAAGCTGTGTTTCCCTTGGACTCTGCTAAAATACACTGTGGCCATCATTGACATCACTGAATTTCCCCTTTCTCGGTTTCTGAGGCCCCTTCCTGCTGTCAATCTCCCTGAAGAGTCTGTGGCATCAGATGAGCCTAGGGTTGGATTTTGACTCTGCAGTTTGAGGCTGAGGTTTTGGGCAAGTTCCCGAGCCATTCTGAACATGGGTTTCCTCATTTATGAAAGGAGATTGACACCCTCTTCCCTCAGTGGAATGTTCTTATGAGCGTTCACTGGCAGGCAGGTGGCACTTGGGAAGTCTCCCCAGTTCTTTCCCTGACCAGTCTGAGAGTTCCCTTCCGTCTCCTTTCACTTTGGTGTCCCTGTTTCTCTGCACTCTGCCTTCAGCCCCTTCCTGCCTTCCTCTCAGGAAAGTGTAGTTCTCATGACTCTCATATCTCTATGAACACTGCCTGATTTCTCGAGAGTCTCTGCTTCTCCCCGAGCCCCGATTTCACTTGCCCAGCAGCTCCTGTTGGAGGTCTCCTTTGAGAGCCTCTCCCTGCATCCTGCTTCAGAATCTCCAAAACAGCTTGGGGACACTGTGGCTCCCAGAGATGACCAGGGTAAGAGCCGAGCTCTGGAAATGGACCGACTCCGGTTCCAGTGGCTCCCTTACTTACAGGCTGACAACCTCCTTCTGTGCCTGCTTTCCTCATCTGCGACATGGAGGAGGCAGGAGTGCACCAGTCTCAGGCTCATAGTGAGGACTAAGTTACCAAAAGAAAGATGCTAAAACCTGTAACACAGGCTCCAGCGAATGTCCTGCTTTTATGTTGACATATGGCTCTAATTATACACAATAATTGTCACTGTTAGCTCAAGGTCATAGAGCTTGGAAATATTAGATTCAGTGGTCACAGTTTGAGGGGCCACTCCAACAGTGACTCTGTGCAGCATTAATGCAGGGGTGTGGGCAAGCCTAAGGGACAATGAGGGAGGTGACACATCCAATGACAAGTACCCATGGGATGCTGTTTCCATCCTAGACCTTAAGGGACAAGGAGAGGGGAGGTTCCTGGAATGCACCATGCGTTAGCTGCAGCTTTGGGAGAGGTGTCACCATCAGGGGTCTGCAGAGAGGGACTCAGCTCCTGACAAACCAGGAGGCAGCTGGGAGGGAGCCAGGATGGTACACTCCTCAGGCCCTCTCCCCTCCCCACTTTGGATCTCCTGCTGCTATTGCCCTTGGTGCCACCCACCAGAAGCCAGGGGGTCAGGAACAGGAAGGTGCCTCCAGGGCTGAGCAGGCTGGACAAAGGTGGACGGGGATCCAGAGGGCAGTGGAGAACTCCAGCATGCTCCACAATCGGCAATGGGGCAGAGGCTGTAGCATGGGTGTCTTTCCTCTGGAGCCTGTGCTCTCCCACCAGCCTCTGCCTGTGTCTCTATGCTGTCCTTCAAAGCCAGCTCCAGGGCCTTCCCCTGCAATACCCACCTCCCTCATCAGTGGCAATGCAGCTTTTTCCTGTTCTCAACCCCTGAATACTCTTGTGAGCTTGTGGCACATTGCACTTGTGCCTTGGCATGGGCCTTCCTTCAAGAGGACAGTGTGAGAGGCAGGGACCACACATTCAATTCATTCTCCTTGGAATGTGGCTCAGGACAGATGCTCAGCACATGGTGGACAAATGGGTTTATTTCCCACCTGCCTTACACCCAACTGTTGGAGTGTGGAAGCCACATAGGCAGTTTCCAAGCTGGGTATGCTCTGAAGGCACTTTTGCCTGGGCTCAGGGGCATGATCGAGAGTCTGCACTGGCTGCAGGCCCTGCTAGGCCCTAGACAGGATCAGGGAAACAAAGAAGGGCCAAGAAGGGCAGACTGGGACATGTGCAAGCACCTGGCATCCTCCTCCAGGCCTCACAGAGAGGCTTCAGAGAATGGGGATCCCAGCTGCCTCATCCCCACTGGAGTGGGCCTCAGATGGTCCCATTTGCACCTGTGCACAGTGCCTGAAAACCCTCCCCAAACCACAGCTGTCCAGAGCGTTGTCTGAGCACCCGCTGTGGGCCAGGCACCTCATATGGCCCCTCCATGTGCTTATGTGACCCTGGATGAGAGCGACAATGCTCTTACCTGACAGCACAGCTGAGGAGCTTGAGAAGGCCCTGAAACCAGGGAGCGGTAGGGTGAAGTTGAGCCCCAGCCTCTCAACTGCTGGAGTGTGGAAGCAACATAGGCAGTTTCCAAGCTGGGTTCCCAAGCCTCTCATGTTTCTATTCAAGAAAACCTTGGCTATCGGGGGCTGACCTTGCCAAGGGAATTTTTCTTTAGCCCTCCATGGCAGTTGTTGCTGAGGCTCTTCCAAGACAGCTCTAGCCAGTACCTGCATCTCCTAGTAGTTTGGTTTTGGTTGAGTGCAACTCCCATTGGCAGGGCAGGTCTTGCCCCATGCACCTCCAGGAGCCAGGCATCTTTCAACTCACTGTGGGGCCAAGGATGGAGGACCGTGCATGATGGGCCTAGGTAGTCTCCTTCAGCTGGGCCCAGGAGTCTTAGAGCAGCCCTCCCCAAAACTTCAGGAGCAGACCGTTCACGTGGGAACCTGCTCAAATGCAGATTCTGATTCAGGATGTCTGGGGCAGGCCTGCAATCCTACATTTCCAGCCAGCTCTGCTGCTGGTGTGAGGCCATGCTTGGAGTAGCAAGGCCTTAGAGCTGTTCTTCTTACCTCTATCCCATCAAGCATCCTGCTTTTACAACAAGTATTTTGGAATGATCTCTACTATTTTAAAATGAAATTCATAGATGAGCTATACTATGTGTACCCCCTCAAATCAACTTAATGCTTTATAATTAAAGGAAAAATCAGAGGAAAGCAATTTATAGCACACTGAGACAAATTCTAGTATTACACCTCTTCTTTGAATCAGTGTGAATTTCAGAGAAGATAATAATCCTTTATATTTGACGCTTGAAATAAACGCTAGATAAGCACCTGTTTGTATATGCGAAGACTCAACATGCAGGGGACAAGGATCAGCATAGACAGACACAGATGGGCTGTAATATCCAGGAGAGGCACTGCCCATGGTGATGGGATTCCTAACATCCCAACTGTTGGTAGGGTTTTTAATGAAAGAAAACACTCTTCAGCCAATTTGCACACCCTTTAAACATTCATTGTGCATTAGCATGGAGAAAATACACACCTTGTGTTTCCACATAAATTGGACTTAGCTTCCAGGCTCTCATGAATGGGTTTCCTCTTTTCTGCATGAATGTCAAGAGGGTTACTCAAAGTCTATAGGAGAAATCTTCATTTGTGGACTTTCCTATATATCACAGATGTCAAGCTTCCCTGCCATGGCCTATCAATGGTCAAGGATTGTCCCCAATCAGTGCTATAATCAGAACATCCCCTGAGCGTTCCAAGTTGTCCTGTGGTTGGGGGAAGGGCAGGATTGTTCCCCCTGGAAACCATGGGCTTTGAGCTGATTATTCCCAGGTCCATTGAATTGGAGGAAACAAGGCCTCTGGGACCCCCTGAGACAGGCTCAACAAGGGAGTCATGGTGCAAATGGAACACTGTCTGTGAGTGATTCTGCTTCTGCCATGCTCTGTCTGGGGTGTAAGTGGTCACATCAAGCCCCTGTGTCCTAGCTGAGAAGGTGGGGATATGCAGAGCAGTGGCAAATTGCCCAGATATTGCTCAGGACCCATACCCCACTTCCTCTGAATCTAAGCCCTGTACCTTCCACTGCAGGGCCATAGCAGAAGCCGTCCTCCCAGAGCCTTGGCACCACTGCAAGGGGTTTTGAGGGTGTTCCCTCCCCTAGATGGTGCCCAAGAAGGTTGCTCAGGCTCAGGTGGTGTTCCAGAAGCAGATTGGCAGGTAGATTTGCTGGTAGATCTGCATGGATCTGTAGATCCATGAGGCCTGGACTGTTCCTAACTTTTTTTCTCTATGAAATTTAATAACAAAAATGATATGATAGGACAGAAAGGATATGATAAATATGGCCTTGTTTTAAGGTGGTCAAGACTTCCTTCCTGGCTTTGAAGGTATAACTAAGAATAGTTGCCTTTCCTGTCAACACACACGGGTAATCCCAAAATGTTCAAGGTATCTCTTGCTGAGTAACAAATCACCCAGGAAGTAGTGGCTTAACACAACATTTATTTGTTCAAGATTCTGCACTGGGCTGGGTGCAACTGGGTGGTTCTTCTGGCAGTGTCACCTGGAGTCATCTGTGTGTCTTCAGCCACCTGAAGTTGACCAGGACTGGAGATCCAAGGTAGTGCCACTCTCAGCCCTGGGGCCTGCCTCTGAGACAAATAGGACAGCAGGGCTGGTGATATTTCTCTCCCTGTGGTGTCACCAGCAAGGTAGCCATACCCCCCAACTTGCTCCAGGCTCCAAGGACATGCCTAGACTGGACGCTGGCACTGTGTCACTCTCCCACATTCTATCAATTACAGCAAGTTGTGAGGACGGGCCAGACTTAGGGAAGAGGAAGAGTGATGAGGAATGTGTGGTTATCTTTAAATCACCACTCAAAGGAGACTTTATTGCTGTCTCTTCTCACTGCCAGGCCCAGTGGGAAGCAAGGGAGGCCAAGCAAGCAAGGAACAAGTTTGAGGAGGATTAAGGGATACTGCCCAATCATTCCTGGTGGCTGGGGCATAACTGCGACCACCTGTGGGGCCTGAGGATTGGTGGTGCTGAGCTGTTACCCCAGCAACCAGCTGGTTCCTGAGGAGCATGCCCTATTTGCATCCAAGCAGGTTTAGAAGGGGTTTGGGCCATGGGGCTGACAGTGATTCTAAAGTCTTAGGCTCTGGCAGGTACCAGCTCTACAGCAGGCACAGGGCACATCCCCCCATGTCAGGCTGCACCGCAAGATGCTCCTCCTTTTATGGATTAGCTGAAGGTGGCCATGGCTCTCATTGGAAGCAATCAAGCATTTGTAGACCAAGCCATGTGTGTCCAAAGATCCCACTGATCCTCAGAAATGACATCACTAAAACCTGCAACACTCTTAACTTTCAAATATAACATATTCTGTCATTTAATGCACTGCACTATAACAAACTTTGCATCACCTTGATTAAAATTAGTAGTACATCTATACACTACTGAGAACAGTGCTTGGTTTGAGGAAGATACAGGCCCTTGTTCTGTTCATGGTTTCCAGTCTCTCTATGCAGTTGTATGTTTGTTGGGCTTCCCTCATCCTGACCACATTCAGGAGACCCAACCCCTCCTGCATGTGTGGGAGCTGAGGGCATCAAGGTATGCAGGCTGCTTACACACATGTGGACAGGAGAGCTGAGCCCGGCACCTGCTCTCCAGCACCTGCAGCAACATCTGCCTGGAAAGAGGACATCAGAGTAGCTGGTCCCACTCCGGATGCAACCCCCAGTGGGACCTTGAGATAAACACAGCCCATCCCAGGAGCCAGGAGGCCACAGGCCAGCCCCTCTTCACTCTCAGCCTTGCTGCTTCTCTGCCCTCACCCCAAGCCTGGCACTGCTTTGCCTCTAAGGGCGCTCAACATTCAGTGAGCTGGAGCTGATTGCACACATATGTTGCTTGCCAAGCACAAACATGTTTCCCCTTCCCTCCTGAGCCTCAAGTCTCTGTCCTTGCTCTTTGTTGTGCCCGCAGTGCCAGGCACCTCATCCCAGGGCCTTGACAGCACTGAGTCATCCTGGAAAACACCAGCCTGGAATTATTCTTCTGGTTCCTCAATCATACTTGTTTCCAAAGGCTTTTGCTTGTTCGCGAATTAGTCCTGACCTGCTGCCTTGGAGTGGCTCCAACAATCCAACCTTCTGTGTCTGAGCTTTTAAATGTGCAGTTTTTAAGGCACAAACTCGAACTAGATAGGAAAGAGGAGTGGCCTGGCTTCTTTCTCTGTACTCATCAGTGTGAGCTGTGATACTGTTTGGTTTGCACAGATTGTGCTAGAACTGGAAACAGAACCTCCCAAGGCTTGTTAAACACCCATGACTCCCCTGTCCCAGGCACTCTGCTTCTCCATGAGGATGAAGCTAAGGGCCTGTGGCTGTTCCTTCCAGAGAGATGCAAGAAAAGGGAGCTGGAGGTTACATCCCACCCACAGCCAGACTCGGGTGGGGAGGAGGCCTCCAAGCACAGAATGGGGTGGCTGTGGATGAGGAGCAGAGGATGGCCTGGGGCCTTTGAGAGGAGGAAGGACTCATTCATCTGGAGTCAAATACCTGGACAGCTGGAGCGAGATCTCTCTGGTTCTTCAGTGGGTGCCGGGAGGCTCAGCTGGCTCTCTGGTCAGGCCCCCTGAGCACCCATCTTTCCTTTGTGGGGGTTGGTTAGCCTCCCTGGAGCACGGGACTTGGAGCCTAGATTCAAGCTCCCTTATTTATAAAGTGGGTCTTCTGAACTCCTGACTCTTCTCTAACATTGGAATGAAGGTTCCTCTTACCTCTTGGGGCTGTGGGAGGTACTTTCACTGTGCTGAGTGACTGCCGTTCCTGGCATGGGCAGCTGCAGGGGCACCTTCTCATGTGCAGGGCTCATCCTTCCTGGGGTGCCCCTTCACCACTGGCAGCCCAGCTGCTCAGACAAGTGAAGGCCCTTTTCATGATGCCCCCTAGAAATATGTCAGCCATACAGGTGATCTGACCATTTTTTTTTTTAGTAGTCACATTCAAAAAGGTAAAAAGCAACAGGTAAAATTAATTTTAATATTTTTACTTAACCCACTGTATCTGGAATATCATTCCAACAGTATCAACAAATAAAGATGATGAATGAGATATGTCATATTTCTTTTTTTTTTTTTTTTTTTTTTTTTTTGAGACGGAGTCTCGCTCTGTCGCCCAGGCTGGAGTGCAGTGGCGGGATCTCGGCTCACTGCAAGCTCCGCCTCCCGGGTTCATGCCATTCTCCTGCCTCAGCCTCCCAAGTAGCTGGGACTACAGGCGCCCGCCACTACGCCCGGCTGATTTTTTTGTATTTTTAGTAGAGACGGGGTTTCACCGTTTTAGCCGGGATGGTCTCGATCTCCTGACCTCGTGATCCGCCCGCCTCGGCCTCCCAAAGTGCTGGGATTACAGGCGTGAGCCACCGCGCCCGGCCGATATTTCTTTTTTTATGCTAAGGTGTGGCTTTATCATCTGGTGTGATCTCACACTCCAGCACATCTCATTTTGGATTCATCACATTTTGGGACTTGATAGCCACCTGGAGCTCATGGCTGCCATGTGGGACTATGGGACCCTGGACAGACAGCTGTGCATGCTGGTCCTTTGCATGTGAGAAATGTGGCCTCTAAGTGGCTTTTTGTGCCAAAGGGGCAGGAGGTGGAGGACTTGCTTCTCCTCAGCTTCCCACTTGGTGATAGAGGTGGTCCTGTCCTTATAACTGTAGGCCTGGAAGGTTGTCCAGGCAGGACTCATTCCTGGAGGGGGCTGGGCTCTGGGGCCTGACATGGTGGAAACAGGGCTGTGTGTAGTAAGGGGTGCACCCTGGTCCTTTCTCTCCCACTGGGTAAATGCAGGCAGGGGCTGTGGGTTGAGCCCTGAATGAGGGAGGTGCTTTCTCAGGCTGCAGGGCTCCCAGCCTGTGCTGGGCTGCAGGAGATGGGGAGAGTACTGTGGTCCTTCACTCTGAAAATGCTCCTGGGTGCTTACTGTGCATGAAGTACTGTGACCCCTTGCAACGCCAGGGTTGCCACAGTCCTTGCCTCGAGTGCAGACACTTGATGGATACAGCAGAAACATCCATGGGTCCTATTGCGGGGCCTGTGCAAAGCCTGGAGGTCAGAAGACGTGGCCAGGGCATAGGGGTAAGGTGGGTAGATATCAACCATGCCTTGGAGGTCCCAACACTGTTACGGGGCCTGATAAGATGGGAGTAAGGCTGCCTCCACCTCAAATCACCCAGCTTGGGGTGGCAGTGGTGATAGGGACAGGTCTAGATGGGGAAGACAGAGCCTTCAGGCTGGACATGCCATCTGGGAGGTTTGCCATGGGGTGAGAGTGTGAGCAGCATGGTTTCAGCTGAAAAGAAGAAGAAAGGGTGGGGGTGGTAGGGAGTGGCCCAGGGCCTGCTTCTTCTTATCAGGAGAGGTTGCAAAAATAAGCCTTCCTTTCAGAGTCTTCAAAGTCCTAAGGATCCTAAAATAACCATTTGAGAACACGTCCTGAATGTTCACCTCTGTGCAGGACGGTTGCTTCTAGGTCAAGTGCCTGGTGCCAGGCCACAGCCCACGGGGTGTATTGGCTCCATTACGCACCCTTTATTGGCTGATTCTCTTCTTGGTCTCCGGCACTTTCCAGTGGGTTTCCTAGGATCACCTCCCACATAAACTCTTGACACTTGAATCTTTTTCTTAGGATTTCTGCTTCTTGGGGAGGCTAATCTGGGTTGGCACACTTCGGTAAATATTAATAGCACTAATTATGCTATGCATATTTAAGGGTGACTCTCAGTGAAGTCTATTTCTCAGGTGCCTGTAAACCTCATCTTTGATGTCCAGAATCACTTTTGATCCTGTGGGCAGTCCCTCTTAATGGGACCATCAACCCCACATACATGCTGCCGAGATCTCAGAACGGTGCCTCAGCAAGCGCTGGCAGGGGTGCATCTCCTGTACCCTGGCACTGTCTGGCCTCATCGGGCTCCTGGCCCTTCTTAGTCGGCTCCCTGCCTCCGGGGAACCCTGCAGCTGCTCTACTGTTCCCTGCATTCCTGATCTCCAGGCTGCTCACCTTGCTACCTCGAGCACTGGACTTATCAAAACACCGGTCAGCTCATGGGATTATCTTGGGTCCCAGTACCATCTCTGCTTGGCTTCAGCTGTGGCACAGTGGTCTGGCCATTTCTTCTGTGAGACTCTATTTCCCCACCTGCAGGACCCCTGACGCCAGCTGCCCAGTGTCTCTGAGAATGGTGCAGAGTACAGTTGGTCCTCCCTATCCACAGGTTCTGCACTGAGGATTCAACCAAACTCGGATAAAAAATATTTGATTAAAAAACAATTAAAAATAACAATACAATAATACAAATCATACTGATGAAAAAAACATAACAATGGTTTACATAGCATTTACCTTGTATTATGTATTACAAGTAATCTAGAGATGATTAAAAGTATACAGGAGGATGTGCGTAGGTTATATGGAAATACTACTCCATTTTATATAAGGGTCTTGAGCATCTTCGGATTTCGGTATCCTTGGGAGGTTCTGGAATCAATGCCCCAAAGATATGAGGGATGACTATAGTTACAAGAGGGCTCTGGAGCCAAGCTGCCCAACTTTGGCACTTCCCAGGTGTATTAGGTTGCGGAGGCCGCCACAGCAAAGTACCACATACTGCATGGCTTTAACAACAGAAATTTATTATCTCACACTTTTAAAGGCCAGAAGTCTTGAGATCAAGGTGTCAGCGGGATTCATTTCCCCTGAAGCCTCTCTCCTGGGCTTTAGAGACCGCTGCTCTCCCTGTGTCTTCACATGGTCTTCCCTCTGTGCCTGTCTTTGTTGCAATCTCCTTCACTTTTAAGGACACTAGTCAGATTAGATAAGGGCCCAGCCTAATGGCCTCATTTTAACTTAATTACCTCTTTAAAGACCCTATCTCCAAATACAGTCACATTCTGAAGTACTGAGGATTAGGCTTCAGTTAGGCTCAGTGGAGGAGACATAATTCAGCCCGTAACATCACCTGAGTGACTTTGGGCAAGTTTATTAACCTCTCTGTGCTTCAGTGTCCTCCGCTGTAAGATAAAAGTAATGACAAGGCTACTGTGAAGATTAAGTTAGAATGCAAAGTTGTGGTCTTCAAACTTTTTTGCTTGCATAGTTCCTAAAATAATTTCAAAAACTATGCACTCAATCATTTTTTTGTTGACATCTAAACTTTTTCATCATAAATGTAAATTGTTGCGAAAGATGTAATTTCCATCTTTGACATCTTAAAAATGAAATGATTAGATCCATCTTTCTTTCACATCTAAATGTCTTGAATTTAATGACTGTCTTCATTTATTTAAAGCCATCATGAGAAAAAAAGTACCTACCCAAACAAGTTTTAACTGTTAGAAATTTTGTATTGTTCCTTCTTCTCCTTGAATTTTTATCTTCAGTACACTTCCCCACAAAATTTCATCCTACTGTAATACATCTTTTGTTTTGAAGGTTCTTTATTGATTACCCTATTTTACTTATCTGTAAGATAATATGTGTGTACAAATTTAAATTAATAATTTTTTAATTTCCTCATTTCATAAGTGTCTGTTAAAATATTTTTTAGATTGACTTATTAGTATTGCACAATTAGTAAACTTTGGAAAATTAGCATAAGATTAATCAAGATGACATAAACATATCATAAATTTAGATACATAATAGCCATAAAAAGCAAAATTTATTGGGAATGCATTTTTATTGAAATTGATTTTTATTTTTACTTCATATACCCTGGTATGAATTTTTTAGGGATAAAATTTATCATCAATTTTGTTAATAGATATTAGCTCTGAAATACTTCAATATAAACAGAGTATGAATGAATGAATGAAATTTTCTTATACTCCTCAATTTTTAGAACTACTTCCAAGGTATATGTCAAAAGTCACATCATGATTTATCATCCAAAATGATTTTTAATACTCTACCAGATGACAATTGGATTAGGTCATTATTCAATCCTTGTTGAAAGCAAAGTATTAGAAACATCCCCCCCTTGTGAAAGATTTAGTTGCCTAGTTAATAATTTGCTTTATTGACACAGATATTAGTATTTTACATTAATTCTTGTTTGATGTCTCATTTACGTTTCAATCTGGGACAGGTCTCCAGGATGGTGTGCTTTGATTTTATGAATAGAAAAGGGTGATGTTAAAAGTGGGGAAGGGAAATGAATACGGCCAGACCTCAGGCATGTTCTAAGAGAATGCATTCTTAGGAAAGAATACCATGGGAGGTGAGGATGTTAAGGTGATTCCTTAAAACTGTTTTGCCAAAGAGTACCCAGGGGTATCCAGACCCTAGACTGAAGACCACTGATCCATCTAATAAGCTTAGAATAGTGCCAGGGACACATGAAATGTTCGATAAATACTAACTATGGTTGTTATTATTGTTGCATCTATAGATTATCTAGTATACAGTAGATGCTCGGTAAATGGAATACAGAAAGAGTTTAGGTATTAATAGGAGGCTGAACGAGATAAACCTGTACAGTTCCATTTGAAGCTGAGATTCTCTCATCTTACTTTGGAAGCTGCGTAACAGATCACCCCATATGTAACAGCTTAAAGCAACTATTATCTGCTCTCAATTCCACAGGTTGCCAGTTTGGGCTGGGCTTAGCTGACCATTTCTTCTGCTGGTCTCAGCTGGAGTCATTCATGCAGCTGCAGTCTCTTGATGCATTACCTGGGACCTGGTTGTTCGGGGCCTTGGCTGGGACAGCTGGTGTCTGCTCCGTGTAGTCTCATCTTCCAGTAGGCTAGCCAGGCTTCCTCATGTGGTGACAGAAAAATTCCCTGCAACAAGAGAGGGCAAACCCCATAGCACAGGTGTCTTTTACACCTCTGCTTGTGACACATTGGCTAATGTTCTCTTGACCAAAGCAAGTTCATATGGCCAAGCCCAGAGTCAGTTTGGGAGGGGGTACACATGGGTGTGGACACATACAAGGAGGTGTGATTCACTGAGTCCACTGATGTAACAATCTACCACACAATTCAAGGGTCCCCCTGGTTGTTTCAGCTTTACCTCTATTTGAAGTAAATTCAGCTGTGAACCTCAGAGTGGACACTTGCTGGATTATGTGCCTAGGTATTCTTACTTTTCCTCTGCAGCCAGAATCATTTGGTTTTCCTGTAGGAGGAGGTTTTGGTCCAAGACTCTTTTCCCGAGGGCCTCTTTTTAGTCCTGGAAGAGCATTAATCAGAGAATTCAAACTCATTTTTCAATGAGGAGCTTCTAAATGGACACGTTATTCCATCTGGCCTCAAGAGGGCTTTCTTATGACTCAGGCAGAGCTTAGAGGTTGAGTGACTCTATTACTCCAGGATCCCAACTTAACCTGCCTTGGCCCAAAATGAATACCCAGGAAGTCTGGGGTGTATGGCTTAATGCCTGGCTAGATCCCTGGCTGGGACATATCCAGTCACTGTTGTGTTCATGTGATGGCTCTGCTGTGCTCTTCCAAACAGAAGAATGCAAGTCTTGAGAGTTGGGTGGTATAGCACCAATACCTGAACAACACCTGGCTCCCGGCATTTCCTTGTAATTCCTGGAGCATATATATCTGAAGTAGCATTGGTTTACCATCTTCTATTATTTTTCCTTTCACAGTGAGACATTATTTGGTGAAATGCCCTCAGAACAGGTAAGAATATTTTCTTCCTTTTTTCAGATGAAACTCTTTGCCATTTAACTTTCTTTTGATATTACCAATAAATTGATTAAATTTGTAGTTTTACCTAAAAGTCTGCATATTTGTCCACAAATATGCCTGCAAATGTGTATCCTGCATGCATTTGCATGTTTCCAAGGTCTACAGTCTGGTTTTCACCCCCAGGGATCCAGAGAGCATGCAGCTTTTGCTGGCCCAGCAGGCTTGCTGGAGGAGGCTTGGTGTATGGTCCTGCAGAGCTGCTCCCCAGTTTAGGAAGGGGCTCACACTTGCTCTGAACCACTTTGATACATTTTGACCACAAACACCCCCAATTCTCTTCACCAATGCTGACTTACTGTATGCCCTGCTTTTAGCTGGTGAGGCACACTTTATAGGTAACATAATAGTTATAAGAGATAGTGCTAATTCAAAGCGTTTAAAAATTTGGGACTTCTGATCCAGACAAGATGGCATAGGTCAATTTCTTCCTTCTCTTTCCTGCTGAGTAAAGCTTTAAACCTTGGAAATAACATAAGAGACAACCAAATGAAGACTTTGAAAGGTGGTGAAAAGAAGGTAAACTGGTTTGGAATCCCAGGACTGGAGGAGTAACACAACTGCTAGACATCTTATGTTTTCCCATCCAACAGCAGAAGGTCACCCAGACTTGCTTTTTTCCTACTCCAATCTAGCAACAGAAAACATTCAGGTAAGCTCATTCCTCCCCTGGATCAAAGGGGAGTTCCCCTGAAAACCTCAAGTGAGCCCAGCATCAGCTGCAAAGAGGATGGATCAGGGGCTCCTCCCACAATGAGCACCAGAGGAAGAGCTCACTTTTTCTTCCAGGCTAAGACTCCCTTCCTCAACCAGGTGACACCAAGCCTTCAGGGAAGAGCCAGCAAGAGGCACCTAGACACAAAAGTGGCCCAGCAAGGAAGCTTCTTCATCTCCATGGGTGTGAGGCTTCTCTCCCCTACTGAAAAACATCCAGCTTCCAAATCTGAGGAAACTCTCTCTGTCCCCTCTGGCAGCACCAGCAGGGCCCAGTGGCACCATATAAACCAAACAGACCAAAATAATACTGTAAAGTCTCTGAAAATGAAAATGCCATTGGAACTATAGCCCATAGAAGCAGACCAAGATTACATGATAAACCTGGGTGACTGCCTACAAAAATAAGAGATTTATATAGGACCTGGGACCTTCTGACAAGCTACTATAAAAAAACCACCCATCATTTTAAAAACCACAAAAATCACAACTTGAATGAGAAGAGATAATAGATCAGATCAACACTGGGATGAATCAGGTGTTGAAATTATCTGACAAAAATTTTGAAGCAGTTTTTTTCTTTCTATGAGATGGAGTTTCACTCTTGTTGCCCAGGCTGGAGTGCAATAGCATGATCTTGGCTCACTGCAACCCTCCTAGATTCAAATGATTCTCCTGCCTCAGCCTCTCAAGTAGCTGGGATTACAGGCACCCACCACCATGCCCAGCTATATTTTTGCATGTTTAGTAGAGACGGGATTTCACCATGTTGTCTAGGTTGGTCTCAAACTCGTGACCTCAGGTGATCCACCCACCTCATCCTCCAAAAATGCTGGGATTGCAGGCATGAGGCACCACCTGCAGGCTTAAAGCAGTTTTTATTAAAAAAAAAAAAAAGATTCAATCATCAATTCAAATTATCTTAAAACAGTTGACAAAATAAAAAAATCTCAGCCAATAAAGAAAAAAACAAACATATGGAAATTATAGAACTAAAAAGTACAAAAACAGAAATGAAAAACTCACTGTTCGGGCTCAATAGGAGAGTGGAGATGTCAGTGGATAGTTTGTGAAGTGGATGACAGAGCAATAGAATTTATCTAATCTGAACAACAGAGAGAAAATAGACTAAAAACAAACAAAAAATGAACAGACATCAAGGACCTACAGGACAAAAGATCCAACATTCTATCATCAGAGTTCCAGAAGGAGAGGATAAACAGAGTGGATCTAAAACAGTATTAGAAGAAATAATGGCTGAAAACTCCCCAAATTTGGCAAAAGACAAAGCCCTATAGGTTTAAGAAACTGAGTGAATGCCAGGCATAATAATCTCAATAAAATCCACTTGAAAACACATGATAATTGAACAGAAAACAAAGTTGAATGACAGTGCATTTCTGCTCTGAATCCATGAAGGGCAGAAGGAAATGGCACATTTTTAAATACCAAAATAAAAGAACTGCCAACCCCAAATTTTATATCCAGCAAAACTGTCCTCCAGACATGAAAGGGAAATAAAGACATTCTCAGAAGAAGGAAAGCTAAAAGAGATTGTCACTGTCAGACCAACTTTAATGACTAAAATATAATCTTGAAACAGAAAAAAATGTTGGAGCCTTAGGAAGGAAGAAGGAATAATGGAAAGAGCAGAAATAGGAGTACATATGGTAGAGTGTTCTTTCCATGAATAGTCGTGAGTTTTAAAAATCACATTTGAGGATTTAAATAAAAATTATAGAATTGTCTGATGCTCAAGACAACACTGTTTAAAAGTGAGTGAGGCAAAATGACCTAAATAGAAGTCAAAAGTCCTGTCAAAGCAATGGAATGTTGGTGCCAATAGACCGTGTAAAGTCACATATGTGTATTGTAATGACCAAAGCAATCACTAAAATAACTTTGCAAAAACAATACACTCAGAATTCCTATAGGTAGATCTTAAAATTTATGCAAGTAACACAAAGAAACAGAGGAATGAGAATTACAGGAAATAACCAGAAAACAAACAATAATATGGTAGCCTTAATTGCTGAAATACTATTTATTTTAAATGTAAATGATCTAAATACATCAATCAAATTTCAGAGACTCACAGAGTGGATTAGAAAAATGACCCAACTGGTATGCTTTTTATAGGAAATTCACTTTATACACAGTGACGTAAGTAGATTGAAAGTAAAAGGATGGAAAAAGATATAACACACAAACAATAAAATAAATCAGGTGTGGATGTACTGTAGCTGATAAGATGTACTTCAGGGCAAAAAACCTTACTAGAGGCGAAGATGGACATTAGATGATAAAGGCTCAATCCATCAGAAAGACAAGTTTCCACATGAGTACAAGTCAAACAACAGAACCACAAAATTTAAACATCAAAAACTGAAAGAACAGAGAGAAGAAATAGCTAAATCTATAGTTTTGGTTAGATCCTTCAATTCCTCCCCCTCATCTACTGATTGACCTGCTGTAGATAGAAAATTAGCATGGTTATTGAAGATCTAAACAACACAATCAACCAATGGTGCCCAATTGAGACAGATCAAACACTCTAACCAACAGTAAAAAAACAATTATTTTTTCAAGGCTCCATGGGACATTCATCAAAATAGACCATATCCTGGGCTGAAAAACAAGCCTCAACAAATTTGAAATAATTGAAATAATAGAGAATGTGTTCTCTGAGCACAGTGAAATCAAACTAGAAATTAACAACAAAACGACTGCAGGAAAATCTCTAAATGTGGAAACAGTTTTTTGTTGAAAGTGACACACTGATTCTAGATTATATATGTACATTTTAAAAAATAACAAAGTCAGAGGACTTACAGTTCTTCTGTCCAAAACTTATTCTAATGCTAGAGTAATGGAGACACTGAAGTATTGATATAAAGTATATAGATCAATGTAGCATAATTGAGAGTCCAGAAATAAATCCTTATATTTATGGCCAACTGACTTTTGATAGAGATGGCAGGGCAGTTCTAAAGAGAAAGCTTTGTCCTTTTGACAGACAGTGCTGGGACACATGGGTATCCATATACAGAAACATAAACTGAGACCCTTGTCTCACATTGCCTCCAAAATTAACTAAAAATAGATCTTAGACCTAAACATAAAAGCTAAAATTACAACATTTCTAGAAGAGAACAGGAGAAAATCTTTGTGACCTTGGGTTGGGCAAAGTGATACTAAACACAGAATCCATAAATGAAAGAATTGATGTAATTAAAAACCTTTGCATTTCCAAAGACACCATTAAGAAAATGAAAAGATAAGTAAGCCCCATATTTGCAAATCAGATAACCGATAAAGAACTTGTTCCTAAAATATATAAAGACCTCTCACAACTCAATAATGAGGTGACAGATAACACAATTAAAAATGGGCACAAAAGATTTGAGCAGATATTTTCCTAAAGAAGATATCCAAATGGTGAGCAAGTACATGAAAGATGTTCAGTGTCATTACCTACTAGGGAAGTGCAAATTAAAACCACAGGTGATATCACTATACCCCCATTACAATGGCTATAACTCAAAAGACAGACAATAGCAATTTCTGGCAAAGATGTGGAGAAATTGGATCTTTGTACATTGCTGGTGGGAATATAAAATTGTGCCACCACTTGGGAAAACAACTTGATGGTTTCTTAAAACCTTTAAGTTACCCTATGACCCAGCAATTCCGCTCATAGGAATCTATCCAAGAGAACTGAAAGCATATATCTCATGAAAACATATATGCAGTTGTTCATAGCTGCTGTGTTCATGATAACCAGAAACCAGAGACAATCTAGATGTATCCATCAACTTGTGAATTGGAAAACAAAATGAATATATCCACCCAGTGAGGTACCACTTAGTAATAAAAAGGAACACACTGGGTATGGACCAAAGCATGGATGAGCCCCAACAATAGTAAGTGGAAAAAGCCAGATACAAAAAATTACATATCATATGATTCCATTTGGATAAAATGCCTAGAAAAGGTACATTTATGGAGACAGAAAGGGGATTAGTGGTTTCCTACAGCTGAGGGTGGGAGTGGGGATTAACTATAAAAATACAAGATGGAACCTTTGGGGGTGATAGAAATGTTTTAAAACTGTATTGTAGTGATGCATGAATCTAAAAGCTATTGAATTATACACCTGTGATCAGTACATTTTATGGTACGTCAACTATGCTTCAATAAAACCATTTGTTTCTTTTTTCAAGCATATGTCCCAATAAGGCCCCCAAGACTAGGGTGATTCTGGCATTTCAGACTTGGGTAATGGCTGGAGATTGTCAGAGCTGTGGATGATCAGCCCGCCAACATGCTCAGGATTTGCTTTCTGTGATGTTTTTGTCTGGCCTTTTGTGTCTAGCAAGCAGCCTCTGGCTACTGGGGCCCCTCTTTTTTCCCTTACAGTTTCCTCATTCTGAACTGGGGCTGACTGAGGCTGGAAGTACAGCAAGGATGTCATTCCAGCCTGGTGGACATTAGAGTTTGATCTCCCCTCAGCCCTGGGATAAATGAGGTCAAGATGACCGCAGAATCTTGTTGAAAGGCTGCCTCCTTCTCTGCCAGCCATGCTGGGCACTGTCAGGTTGGTTGGGTGTCTGAGTGGCAGTTCTCCCTATGAGCAGTCTCCTGTTGGGTCAACCCACAGATTTGCCTCTAGAAAGCCTGCATTTACTCTACCTCCATCCCAGGACCCTGCTAGGGCCAGGCCTTGACCCATAAACCTGGTAGTCAGCTCCTGGCCAACTTTGCATTCATTTTCCCGATTAGAACCTCAAGCCTGTTTGACTTAGTGCAGCCCAGACTGGCCGCCAGTGCTAGTGAATTGGTCAATTCTTGCCTTTATGCCTGGCTTTGGCCTGAATTGTGCTCTGCCTCTGTAGCCCAGGCAGTTCCTCCCGTCCCTGTTGTGCCAGTAGCTCCCAGGTCCCAGCACCCTCATCTGTCTGCCTGCTCTGTGCTGCTGCCATGGGCAAATGGGGCCCTGGGTCTTAAGCTGTGATCAAGAAGAATGCCCTTCTCTGGCTTCTGACCATTTCTTCCTAAGGGGGAACAGACAAAAAGCACAGGGTCAGGAGAAGATGCCTGGGTTGGAAACCCTCAGGCAGGGGAGGGGAAGGGCCTCCGGAAGAGACCATGTGCTGGCTCTGAGGCTGCGGTCACTGAATGAGGGGCCTTGCCAAGTAACTGGGCCAGAACCTGGAGACTCAAGGGAATTCCATGACTTGCTAAGAAAAGTTCAAACGGAAGGAAAATAAATCTCATCTTGAATGTTTATTGTCCCTGAGGTTGTAAATTGCTGTCTCTTGGAGGGGTGGCCCTGACCTTCAGGAGTGGGAGACTGTTCCTTTCCCAGGGCAGAATGCTCTGAGGATGCAGAGCAGAGAGCAGGGCCTGAGTAAGCGTCTCAGGGATCTGTGAGGTTCAATGTGCCCTTCCCAGGGAGGACAGCCCTGAGAGCAGCTCAGCTGGAGGATATAAAATTGCTCCAAAATTCCTGGAAACCCGGAGTGAAAACGAAATCCCCCCAGTTGCACAGAGCTGTGATGCAGTCCATTCTGCAATGACTCTCCAATGGATCCAGATGCCTTCTTTCCTGCAGGGCAAGGAAAGTTGTGAGGAGGACTGAAGGGGCACCACAAAGCTAATGCCCAGCCAGGATGTCTCCTGGCCTTTTGCTTCATCTCTACTTACGGGATTGAGATAATAAAGTACTTGCCAATGAGGGAAGTTATAATGCAGCAATGAATGGTACAGAAAGTCAAGGCAATGGAAGGAGAAGCGGCAGGGTATAGATATGGAAGCTGAGGATGGCTGCAGAGACATTGCAGCCCCCTGACTTCGAGAGGTCCAATGGCCTCTCATTAGAGGCATCTATTTGCAAAAGCAAACCTCACCAAAATGAACAGGCTTTACTGTGATCAGTTGTAGGGTCAGATTAATCAGTTCTTTCAGGGGCTTTTCTGGGACACATGTCAGAGTCAGGTCATTCTCCTCCTGAGTGAACCCTCAGTCTCAAAGAACACCAGAACTCTAAACAGACTTATGCTGTGCCCCAGCCATTTCTCACTGTTGTTTGCTTGGATTTTAACTCACATGCATGCTTGTGCCCTCCCTCTGCCCACATCCACCTGAGCAAGCAAGGTGGTGAGGATGGGGGCAGTAGACGCAGGGACGGGGTCTCCCTGGCCACCTCCCTCCCATGCTCCCACGGTCATTACTACCTTGTCATGTCCCCACCGCATCCAAGCACTCAGGCCCAGTGTCCTTCTTCCACAGCCCTCCAGGCAGGGGTGGGAGTGGGGAGGGCAGGCCTGTGAGATGGGGGTGGTTCCTGGCATAAAGAATATGCACCTGGATTCCGACAGCTTCAGTGTCAGGTAGAGTTGTGCCACTTGGCAGCTTTGTGAACTTGGGCCACTTACTCAGCCTTTCTGGGAATGTTTCATCCTCCACAGCAGGCACAGACTTGCCTGTTGTCCCTGTCGCTAAGGGTTTCCATAGGAATTCAATGAGAGAACAGTGGTCGTAGACTGGTGCAGCCCAGCTCTTTACTGGATTTATGTCTTATTCTCAGAAAAACTCTGCAAGGCACAGTTGGTTTCCTCAGACTAAGAGCATGGATGAAACTGCCAATGATTAGACCAATGACTAGCCCTCTGTCATTTACAAACCTTCTGAATCCAGGTTATGGCTTGGATGTTTGTTCCCTTCAAATCTGATGTGGAAATGTAGTTTCCAGTGTTGGAGGTAGTCTTGGTGGGACGTGTTTGGGTCATGGGGGCAGATCCCTCATGAATGGCTTGGTCTGTCCTTGTAATGAATGAGTTCTCTCACCTGATGAATTCACACGAGATCTAGTTGTTTAAAAGAGCCTGGCCCCTCCTCCGTCTTTCTCTTGCCCCCCTCTCGCCGGATGATATGCGGGCCCCTCCTTTACCTTCCGCCATGACTGGAAGCTTCTGAGGCCCTCACCAGAGGCCCAGAAGCAGATGCCAGCACCGTGCTTCCTGTACAGCTTGCAGAACCATGAGCCAATATAAACCTCTTTTCTTGATAAATTACCCAGTCTCAGATATTCCTTTATAGCAACACAAATGAACTAATATACCAGGTGACAGAAAAGACGGCTCAGAATGTCTTGTCCAGGGAGGAATCTTGCAGCTCACTTAACTAGGGATGCTACAGTGGGCAGGTCTCAGGGCAGCTCTAGCCAGAGGGACACAGGGTCATCAGGGTGGTGGCTTCCAGCCCCTGCCCTTCTCTGGGAAGTGCTGTGTCTAGGTGGTGATGAGAACCCAGGCCAGGCAGGCTCCCCTGGGCAGGGACAGGTGCCAGCAGGGGTCAGCCCACATGCATCCATCCATGGCCTTTGTGAATGAGTCATCTCTCTTCCTAACCAGCAGGCACAACCCGGCAGTTAGTGGAGCAGCCTCCAGCATGGACTGAAGCTGAACAGGGAGTGGGGTCTCCCACCCAAATACAGCCTTACCCCTGGCTGAGCAGATGCTGAGGAGTCACCTCTCCCTGCCATTATTACTAGGAGCCAAGCCTGCGACCCTGTGGAGCACCACTAAAGTATCTCCTGATCTCACCAGCTAGTGTAAAAAAATGTTAGCACAAACAAAAACGCCAGCCTGGCAAAGTCTCTGCTGTGGACTTCATGAAGCCAGCAGGGAAATACAAAGGAAGAGCTTCCCTCGCGGCTGCAGGAGCTTCTTGTGGCTCTAAGGATGAGCTTCTTGGGTGATGTAAACCATTTATTGTAAAGGTCATGGGGGCACTGTGGACAGGGAGATGGCTTGGCAAATACCTCACAAAGGAGTAGCATTTATTCTAATGCTGTGCAGAGGATGCATGCAGAAATGTCATGGAGCAGATGCAGCAGAGAGCACAGCTTTGCAACCCGCAAGGGTCTGGCATCCTTTCTGGGTGCATAGGCACTCACTTGGGTTGTAGAGAATACTGCCTTGTCCTGCTTCCGATTCAAGGACTCGGAGAGCATTTTCTGTGGTAATAATTATGGATAATACTGCCAGTAAGGTCATGATAGGTGACTCCCTGTAGGCACTTACTGTGCACTAGACACAATTCTATGTGGTTGGCTCATGTCACCCACTTAATGGAAAAGAATCATTTCAAAGGGTCCCTGTGAGTGGGTGGCACCATTCATCCATCTTGAAAGTGAAGTTCTGCAACTTTTAAGCAGCTCCTGGCATATGGAACCAATTGACTTTGTGTGTTTCAGTGGCAGGGAAAGCTGCTGGAGCAAGTTCAAAAAGCCTAAGGCAAGACATTAGGAAACTCCCCCTGTTTGCATGAGTTCTTGGCCTTTATCAATGGCAGCTGACCTTGGGGAGAAGGGGTATCTACAGTTGTTACTATTATTCATTTTACTTTAAAAGATGGCAACGAATTGCCACCATAGTTGTGGAGACCAATGCCCCTCCTTCAAGATTCTGCACATAATGTTCTGGGCATGGGGTTATGGGGTGGCGAGTGTGCTGTGTGAAATCTTGGAAGGAGGCCATAGAGCTGCTTGGAAAGAAACGGATGGATCCCTCCCTCCATCTGTGTCAGACATCTTTCTTGTCAGAACCAAGATAGGCAGGAAGACAGGAAATACATGGACGTTTCTGGAAGTAAAATAATCAGCTGAAGCGACACCTTTCAAAGATGTGTGGAGCAAGAAGAGCTCAGGGGGCCTGGAAGGATGTTGGGAGGACTGGAGCCAACACAGCTCCATTAGCTCCATGCACTAAGGGTTTCTGAATGGGGATCTTTGGCTTGACGAAAGCATTTGACATCCCTAGGTGTCCCAGTTCAGACCACAATACATCCCTTTGGAGTGTGACAGACAGCTTTGTGCCCAGGAGGAGGGGCATCTACTCATTCAAGAAGGAATAAGATTGAACAGACCTCAAAGAAGTGTTTTGATTTGTAATTCGTATGTCCGGGTGCAAAGATCGCCCTGGGCCAGAGGAAGCACCCAGCATCTTTGAGATGGCTGGATTTGTGAAAGTCCCTTGGCTCACACAGTTCGCTGCACCTCCTGCACATCCCAGAGAGAGACTATATTAGAAGGACCATTTGATGGCCCAGGGACATTAAAGGCAGGGGTGAGGACTCCTGATGCCACATGCACTGTGGTTCAGCACAAGTTGCTTTGACCTCACATTTAGTTTTGAAAGCAGAGTGTGGCTGGGTGCATGCTTCTTAGTTATAATTATGTTTTTTGGTGGAATCAGCTCAGTTTATGCTGTTCCTCCTGCATAAACTGCTCCCCGCCTTCTGCTCCCAAATACTCTTAGTGCTAGAGGCACAAAATTCCCAGCTGGCTAGCCCACCATGCCCACCTTCATTTTGGCAGCTGACATCACTTGTTCCAGACGATTTCCAGGCACATGCCCCCTTCCTCCTCTGCGCTTCCTTCTCAGGATGGCCCTGGGTCTTAGGCACCAGCCACACCCTCAGTCCCCAAGACCCCACTACCTGGGTTGGCCTCTCCTCCTCCCTTTGGGGCAGGAGTTTGAGCAGCTGCAACAGTGCTGTGGGTTCCCCACGCTGAATCTAAATCAGACTTGAAATGCAGTAGAATGTTAATGTCTCCTTCTGGTACTTCTCTTCAGGGAGATGGTTTAAACTGGGAGTAGCCACTGTGGCTCTGGCTCTATTGACCTTGTTCCTGTTCCAGTGTTCTTGTTATCTGTTATCTGGGCTGGGTCCTGGGTCCTTGCTTCAGGGCCAGAGGAAGCAGGCCAACATGGATCAAGTCCCATGTCCCCTTCTCAGCTGGTGACTTTTGAGAAGGACCTGATCTCTCTGAGGCCCCATTTTTGCAACAAGGAGGGCCAGAGGTCACGGATACCAAGCTCTTTCCACAGTGCCTTGCATAGGATGGACACAAACATAGCTGTTACTGTTGTTAACTTTAGTTTCTGAAAAATATGGTTGCTCAGAATTTGTTCAATACCTTGCAAAATCTAGGTTGGCTGCTTTGCCTGGTGTTCTGGAGTGGCTGCCCATCGCTCAGGAATGCAGCCTCTCTCATGACCTGCCTGGTCTGTCCTGCAGCGGTGCTTTCCAGCACTGCTCTATTAGTGGGAGGGCAGCTGTCAAGGGGATGTCATGCTGTAATATCCTGGGCAGGAAGACTTTCTGATCAATGTCTAAGTTGAAACTTGCAGCCCTACTCACTGGGCTGAAACAAGGGCACCATGAAATACCCAAGTGGCAACATCATCCTCCCTGGGTAGTACCATGAAACGTCTACACTGCACCTGTACCCTGGAGACTAGGGTCAGTTGCTATTTAGCTGTTTCACACCCCATCTAATTTAGGCTATGCTCTCTCATCTGACCCTCATAACTTTGCAAGAGAGATAGCCAACATACACCTCCCCTTTTACAGATTGGTGGGTGGAAGCCCGGGGAAGTAAGTGACTTGCCCAGGGTCACCTCTCTGGTCAAAGTAGAATCAGCTTTAGTGGCCTTTTGACCCCTGTTCAGCACCTGTTCACTCAATCCAGCCGCTGTGTGTCATGGAGCAAAACTGCCAAGCCTTTGTGGGACAGAAGCTCCTTCTGGCAGGTGGCCAGGCCGGAACCTGGTACATCTTACAGCAAGGCCTCTGCACGTGCGACATCCTGCCTGCCCTTGTTGGAGGCAGAAAAATAGCCTTGCTCCACAATGAGCTCCCACAAATAGCACTTCTCTCTAATCAAACAGCTCTCTAATTTAGAGGGAGTTTCCGGGCGGGCCTGTTTTCTGTCTTTCTTGGTTTGACTCACTCCAACAAGGCTTGCTCTGTTGTGTCAGAGACAAAATATAGCCCTGTTCCAACCTGAGATGTCGAATAACTTTTCTTGTAAGTTAATCATAAGGTGGACTTTCCTTGCCAAATATTCCGACCAGTCCTGCTGGCTCAAGGGGAGAAACAAGATTCTGAGAGAGTGTCTATCCTATGTCAATGTGGTGATTCATTGTCTAAATGAGATCAAATTGTCGAAATATGAATTAAAATTAAATTTAGTGCAGTTTTACTGTTTTGAAGGAAAATTATGATGACAAAGCAGGTGTTCTCCACCTTAAGGAAATCCCTGAACATAATGTTATAAGTGCACAAAAATGATGTTCCAGAAACTTCCATTTTATATTAAACAGTTAAAAAAAATCCAAAAAGAGAATAGGAAGTGGAAATATTATTTGATTCTACACCGTGCAAGGTGCAGTTGGGGAGACTACCCAAGTTTTGAGGCAAAAGAAGAAAGGAAAATGTCAAAAGATTTTAGCAAAAACAAATTAAAAAACTGCATGGAACAAAAAGCCAGAATTCAAAGGGAATTGGGAAAAATATTTTTCAATAAATATGTCCAAATGGTGTAAAAGTTGCTTGCAAACCTGTAAGAAAAGCTCAAGATCCTAAATCAAGAGCAGAAATCAAGAAAATCCTAAATCAAGATCCAAAAAAAAAAAAAATCCTAAATCAAGAGAAGGAGCTATCCTTCCATCATAAATGAGAAAACTCCTTAGACAAACATGGGAAGTGTCCATTATCACTAGAAATCAGAGAAATGCAAATCAAAAAGGAATCAGCTTTTTCTTCATTAAATGAGTCATTTTAAAAAAATTGACAAGTGGTGTTAAGGAGGGTGACGTAGGTATTCTCATTTGTTGAGTGGCATAGCTGTGGTGTAGTACTAACTTGTCAAAAATCATTTTGACAGTAAGTATTAAATAGCCTTGAAAATGGTCCTTTTCCATGACCTGGTAATTCCAGCTTTAGAAATTCAACCCCAAAATGAAAGTCTAAGAATAAAAAACCATTATGCACAAATACATTTTTAGCAGTGTCATTTCTATATTAAACTGAGAAAGAAATGAGATCTTTAGATGTTAGGGAAATGGCTAAGTAAACATCGGCTTATTTCCTCACTGGAATAGTATGAGAATATAAATATGAAAAATTTAGATTAAGTAAATTAAGAATACAAAATTATAATATAATATGATTTAAAAAACACTATATATGAACAAGGAAGGGTTGAAAATTTGTATCTACACACAAAAAAACTGCACATGGATGTTTATAGCAGCTTTTTTCATAATTGCTAAAAATTAGAAGCAGCTGAGATGCCTTTCAGCAGGTGAATGCATAAACTGTGGTACATCCAGATGACAGAATATTACTCAGTGCCCAAAAGAAATGAGCTATCAGGCTGGGAGCAGTGGCTCATGCCTGTAATCCCAGCACTTTGGGAGGCCAAGGCGGGTGGATCACCTGAGGTCAGGAGTTCAAGACTAGCCTGACCAACATGGTGAAACCCCCTCTCTACTAAAAATACAAAAATTAGCTGGGCATGGTGGCAGGCACCTGTAATCCCCGGTACTCGGGAGGCTGAGGCAGGAGAATCGCTTGAACCCGGGAGGCGGAGGTTGCAGTGAGCTGACATCGTGCCATTGCACTCCAGCCTGGGCAACAAAGAGAGACTGTCTCAAAAAAGAAAAAAAAAAAAAAAAAAGAAATGAGCTGTCAAGCCATGAGAAGTCACGGAGGAAGGGTAATTGCATATTGCTAAGTGAAAGAGGCCAATCTGAAAAGGCTATATATTGTATCATTCCAACTCTGTGACATCCTGGAAAAGACAAAACTGTGGAGACGTTAAAAGATCGCTGGTTGCCAAGGGTTAGGGTAGAGGGAGGGATGAATAGGCAGAGCACAGAGGATACTTGGGAGTGAAACTACTCTGTATGATGCTATGATGCTGGGTTCATGCCAGTATAAATTTGTCCAAACCCATAGAATATACTGTACATCAAGAGTGAACCCTAAGGTGACCTGTGGACTTTGAGGGATACTGATGTCTAATGTCGGTTCCTCAGTTGTAGCAAATGCCCTACTCTAGTGCAGGATGTTGATCATGGGGGAGGCTGTGCATGTGTGGAGGTGGGGGCTATAAGGGAAATCTATCTTCCACTCAATGTTTCTGTGAATGTAAAACTTCTCTAAAAAATAAAGTCTGTTTAAAAGCAAAAGCAAGGAAGAGGAAAAAGAGTGAAAATATTTATGAAGATTGTGTTTTGGTTATGACAGTGTTATTTTCTTTGGTTTCCATGCCTGTAATTACCCTTTTTAAACACGAGCATGCATTATTTTATATTGGAAATAAGAAATAGGCATTTCAAGAGTTTATAAAACTACAGAATGAAGCTGAACATGTGGTTGTATATGTAAACAATTCTGAGAATTTAGGATCCCTTGTTTGCTATTGTTGGTCAAAGTTTTGTAAATTCACATTCTTTTTGGCTATTTGTGAATTTACACAATTGACCCTGTACTCTAAAGCTATGACCAGTTAGAATCTCCGTTCCCAATAAAAATAAGGCATCTTTGGGGAATCTCAGTGGGAACTGTATTCTTGGAATTTATCCCACAACGTGTGATTCAGTTTTTACTTATTTTTATATATCTAGGACTATTATTAGAATAGCCTATCTCTTATTACCCATGTGTATATTTATTTGCATTTAATTATAAACATATCCAGTAATGATTCTCCCTGTCCTGTCTCACATCTGTTTAGTTCCTTAGCACCCCCATTCTAGGGAACCACTATTTTTAAATTCTTGTGAATATTTCTGGAGCTTCTTTATGTATGTGTAAGCAAATGCTAATATATATTCTTATTTCCCCTTATTTTTATGTAAAAGTGGCACATTTTATACATTGTCCAACACCTAGCTTTTCCACTTAGCAATGCATCTTTCCTTATCAGGACACACGTAGCTTCTTCGTCTTTATACAGATGACCCTATGCACGGATTCACCATAATCTACTCAACTAGTCCCTGCTGATGGAAGATGAGCTGTCTCTAATCCATAGCTATTATAAACAGTGCTGTAATAACTGATCTTATGCACACAACATTTCCTACATGTGCAAGGATATCCATAGAACGAATTCCTGGAAATGAAATTGCCAGGTCAAAGAGTCTAAGCGCCTGTAATTTTGATAGATGTTACGAAATCATTCTCCATCAGGAAAGATCACGCTGCTGCCAGCAATACTTTTGAGTGCCAGATTCCCTGCACCCCTACCAATAGTGCTTTGCCTCACATTTGACTGCAGCCATTTTGATTTGGAAAAAAAAAAAAAGAAGTCAGTATACTTTAACTGGAATTCCTCTGTCCTGAGGGAGCTTTAGCATGTTTTCATGTGTAAATGAGTCTTTCCTTATGTGTAAAAACTGCCTGTTTCCAACCTTCTTTTATTTTGATGATTGGGTCATATTTTTATGGATTTCTAGAAATTCTGTATGTATTAGCGAGATAGCCTCTCTTGAGACCTGGACTTACCTAGCTGGGACATGTGCCTGCGGACAAGAGATTATAAAAGGTACTTCCCTCTGGATTACTGGAGCGAATAGGAAGCATTTGCAAGAAGATGAATGGTCATTCAAGAAAGTTTGCGAACTCCAGCCCATGAGTAGCACCGAGAACAAGTTTCATATCGGAGCAGTGTATGTTTGCAGCTTTCCTATTTGCTGCTTACCAACAATGTCACTTAGAGCAATCATGTAGCCTATTTAAGCCTTGGCCTTCTTACCTGTAATGTAAAAGGCTTATCTTCCCGTCCCTTTGGCTTATGGCTAACACATATTAAGAAGCTGATACTGCAGTAATTACACAGGGTCAAGGTAGTTGGAAACACTCCCAGCGCTCCTCAAGGTGAGCTCCCTTCACCTGTCCTAAAGGTAAAGGTGCAGCAAGAGAAGAAAGCTCCGGCAGTCACAGGGGACCCCAGACACATCCAGGTGCAGCTCCCCAGAACCCTTTCCCAGGTGATGGGGAGATGTTTGCCTTTGGATTATGAACCACAGAGGTGTGTGCAAGGAACCTTGGTTTTAGGGAGCTGAAGCAGAAACTTCTAGTGGCATAAATAATACCCCACTGGTGATGTAGCCAAGCCAAAATGTGTAATCAGTTAAACCAGGTGTCAACCATCAACCCATGCATCCCTAGGCAATGTACACAAGCTAACGCTGGGTCCCTCCAAGGAATTTGGGACTGTAAACAGCACATTCATTATAAATCACCAACTGGCTCAACTCATCCTTCTTATCTTGGCCAAAGATCAGTACCAGACTTCCAGACCTCCCTGGAGATGAGCACAGAGTGTTTCCAGTCTACCCATATGATAACCTTCCCTTACACAGGTACACAGGGAGCACTCAGAAACTATTGGAAGCTATTGTGGGTTTTTTTTTTTCCTTTCTCTTTTGCAACAAATCTGCCTTTGGTTTCACTGGAAACTTTTTCTTCTACAGCTCAGGGGAGACTGTCACTAGCGTGACCAGCTTGGCCCCACTACAGCCCAAGAAGGGCAAGAGGCAGAAGGAGAAGCCTGACATTCCTCCCGCAGTCCCTGCCAAAGGTAAGGAGCTGGCCTGCAGTTTCTTACCTGGAAACTATCATTATTGATCCCTGTGGGTCTGGGGTTCCATGTTGGATTATGACAGGGAGCGTAGGCAGATGGGGAATATGACATGACATTTAATGATTATGTAGTCTGGACCCCCACCTAGATTCTGGGCATAACTGGTGCTCAACCACCTCAGCCGTTAGCCCAGTACTTGGGTTGGGGGTGGAGTTGGAGGAGGAAGCAAGGGCCTAGCATAGCTTTAGCAGGGGGAAGATCAACATCCACAGATGATTCCAGATTATGTTTCACTTTGTACTATTAAAACATGCCACACATGAGGTGGGGTGGTGGGTTGGGATGAGGAAGTCTTCTTGGTTCATTCAAGGGAAGAAAAGCTCTCTGAATTTTTAAAGATGTCAACCAGGTGTGAAATTTATTTCACAGTTGCTCTGGGTATAAAATGACGGCTATCCTGTGATTCCAGTTATGATTTAGAGCAATGTAAGTGAGGAAGATAGGTGTTTCTGGAGGAAAGAACTGCGAGAGTATTAGGAGAACCAAGACTGACTATAGATAGTTCCTAAAATAACTGGTCAATTTAGGAGATATTCATACCTTAGCAAATTTGAAATGTAGTTGGGGGAATACAAGGGTTGCCCAAATGAACAATTCTATTCCTCAACTGCGGGCTTTGCATGCTTCCCCTAGGGACACATCAAGCCCTGTGGGGAAGCCTGTTGGTGAGGCTGAGCACACATGGAGTGGAAAGAGGGCTGGAGGGTGTGGTTGTACTGCAGGGGGATGAAAAGCATGGACCTGGGAGGGAAGGGAGTAGAGAACGCCTGCCTGGGCCAGGCATCATACTGCTCGATGTCGTTCATTCCACAGTAGATATTACCCACCCTTACTAAAGTTGAAAGTGAGACTTAGGTACGTGGTAGAGCCTGACTTTCAATGCCAAGTTCAAATCCTAAATGGTTCAAGATTAGTGACATGACACCGTGGGAAGGGCCTCACTTTCTTTTTCTGTTAAGTGGGGACAATAAGACCCTCCCTGATGACCTCACAGGGCTGCTGTGAGGTTCAAGAGTCATTGTGATCAGCGCTAGTGTGTGGGTAGGACGGAGTCTCCCAGGGAAGGTCCCAGCTTCAGCCTTCACTGGGTGCATCTGGTTCACACCTGCACACCTGACATCCATGTAGCTGGCAGAGTTTTATGCAGAGTTGTTTTGTTGACCTTGCTGAGGGAGACGACAAAACGTTCAAAGACTAGGGGAGGATCACGCCCGCCGAGGGGCACTTGCTGACACCTAGATCAGAAAGTTCTTCCATGGGACCAGGAAGGGGTATGAGACCTCTCAGAATATGTCCCTGATGCTCATAATGTGTGGCCACTAAGTGTTCTGGGAGGAACTGCAAGCTAAACCCTTGACCTACTTCCACAGCTCCGATAGCCCCCACGTTCCATAAACCGAAGCTGCTGAAACCACAGAGAAAAGTCACGCTGGTAAGTAACCGTCTTCTGTATTCCTATCATACCTTAAGCCTCAGACACAACTCAGATTCCAAAACAGTGCCTTTATTAACTCAAAACATACAGAAAGTTTTAGAAACTTTTGTCCCCAAACAAAAACATTCTCTATTCTCAGATGCCAGCTTTTGAGTCAGCCTTTCTCCATACTTAGTTCCCAGAGTAACTCTTTAAAAATCCAAATAGTTTATATTATAGATGCTCTGTTTCAAACGGGAGAAAAGCCATACTCAGAAATTTATAAAATAGAAAGTGGACCTGCTTGCATACCTTTACCTGATAATTACTCCAAAGATACTGCTGCACATGTTTTCCAGAAAATATGTCATAGCTTTTGATTTTGAACAATTTTAGATTTACAGAAAAGTTGTAAAGCTGGCACAGAGTGGTCCCATGTACCTTCATCCACCTTCTCTTAGTGTTGGTTTCTTACATAGTCATGGTACATGTGTCAAACTAAGAAATTAACATCGGTTCATTGCTATTAACTACACTTCGGGCTTAACCAGATTTTGGTCTACCTGCTAATGTTCCTTTTCTGGTGCAGGATCCAAATCCAGGATCTCACATTGCATTTAGTTGTTACATCTCCTTGCTTTCCAACAATCCAAGACAGATTTGCAGGCTTTCTTTTTCTTTCTTGGCCTTGACACTTTTGAAGAGTAGTGGCCAGTGATTTTTTAGAATGTCCCTCAATTTGGTACTCTCTGAGGTTTTCTGAGCATTAGAAATGGGGTGTATTAGTCAGTTCTCACACTGCTATAAAGATACTACCCAAGACTGGGTAATTTGTAAACAGGTTTATAAAGAGCTTTAATTGACTCACAGTTCCTCATGGTTTGGGAGTCCTCAGGAAACTTACAGTCATGGTGGAAGGGGAAGCAGGCACATCTTACATGGAGGCAGGCGAGAGAGGGTGTGTGTGAGCACAGGAAAAACTACCATTTATAAAACCATCAGATTTCATGAGAACTCACTCGCTTGTCATGAGAACAGCGGGGAGGAAACCACCCCCTAACCCAATCACTTCCCTCCCTTGACACCTGGGGTTTACAATTTGAGATAACATTTGGGTGGAGACACAGAGCCAAACCATATCATGGGGTTACGGATTTGGGGGACAAAGAGCACAGAGGTGGAACTCCCTTCTCATTGCATGGTATCGGGGCACATGACGACAATATATCTTGTTAATGGTGATGCTCATCTCAATCACGTGGTTAAGGTGGTGTCTGCCAGGTTTCTTTACTTTGAAGTTACTATTTTCTCCTTTCCAGACTCTATTTGTTAGAGGCCAGTCCCTGAGTCCAATTCACATTCAAGGTGAGGAGAGTTGAGCTCCACCTCCAGAAGGGAGGCATGTCATGAATTTGTGGATATGTTAAACCCACCACAGTAATTAATAAAAATCTTAGGGGAGATATGTTAAGGCTTGCAAATATCTTGTTTTTCCTTGAACTTTTGCCCACTAATCTTGCATTCATCAGTAGATTTTGCTTGCAGCAGATTTTACTATGGTGCACTAAGGGTGATTTTCTATTTCCCTTAATCTTTCTAGATGTATTATTTGGAATTCTTCTATAAGGAAAATGGCCCCCTTTTTTCATTTGTTTATTGTTCACTAATTCCTTGATATCAGTATGGATCCGTGGATATTTATTTTTTAGTTTTTAACTACATAATTATTTATTTTGTTGTTAATATTATTCAGCAGTTAGTTGTGTGTGTGTGCATGAGAGAGAGAGAGAGAGAGAGAAAGAAAGACTGTCAAAGCTATTCTAAGGTGTGTATGCCAAGACAATCTTGAGGGCGGAGTGCAAGGTGGAGGATTTATATGCCAATTCTCGACATCTACATTAAAGCAAGTGTAAGTAATACAATGGGGTATTAATACAAGGGCAGACAAGTAGACAAAGGAACAGAATAAAGAGCCCCAAACATAACTGCATAGGATTGTCATTTGATTTATGACAACAGTGACATTGCAGTGCAGTGAAAAAGAGATTATCTTTTCAATGTTTGGTGACGGGTTTTTTGGATATCCATATGAAAAAAAGATCTATAGCCCCTTCTCTACACCACACACAAAAGTTAACAGGAGATGGATCATAGACATAAGTATGAATGGTACAAAGTAAAGCTTCCCGAAGGTAGCATTTCTTCCTAATTTCAGAGTAGACAAAGATGTTTTTAAACGAGACACATAAAGCACCAACATGAAGGAATGGATAAAGAAATCTGGGTTGTATTAACATTTAGAACTTCTATTCTGTTTAAAGATACAGTTAAAATAATGAAAAGGCAAGCTGCAGACTGGCAGGACATATCTCTATGCATATATCTGCCAAAGGTTTCCCTCCCTCTCTCCCTCCTTTTTCTTTTCTTTAATTTTTCCTTCCTTCCTTCCTTTCTTCCTTTCTTTCTTTCTTTTTCTTTCTTTCTTTTTCTCCTTCCTTCCTTCTTTTCTTTAATTTTTTCTCTTCTTTCTTTCTTTTTCTTTCTTTCTTTCTCTCCTTCCTTCCTTCTTTTCTTTTTCTTTCTTTCTCTCTTTCTTTTTCTTTCTCTCTCTCTCCTTCCTTCCTTCTTTTCTTGTCATTAATTTTCTTTTCTTTTCTTTCTTCTTTCTTTTCTGAGGCAGAGTCTTGTTCTGTCACCCAAGCTGGAATGCAGTGGTACTACCTCGGCTCACTGCAGCCTCCACCTCCCTGGTTCAAGTTATTCTTGTGCCTCAGCCTCTCAAGTAGCGGGTATTACAGGTGCATGCCACTATGCTAGGTTAGTTTTTGTATTTTTAGTAGAGTTGGGGTTTCACCATGCTGTCCAGGTTGGTTTCGAGCTCATGGCCTCAAGTGTTCCTTCCACCTCGGCGTCCAAAAGTGTTGGGATTACAGGCATGAGCCACTGCACCTGGCTGACCTGACAAAGGTTTCTTATCTAGAACATATGAACACCTGCCAATCAATAAGAAGTAAAAAGACAGCACTACCAAAAAATGGACAGAAGGTTTAAATGTGCACTTGACAAAAGAAGATATACAAATAGCCAGTAAACTCATAAAAAGTCCTTAACCTAATAGGCATCATGGCAGTGCAATTTAAAAGCATAAAGCCAGTTCACCTCCACCAGGATAGTTAAAATGAAGTACTTGTGCAGTTTCTTTTTTGCCTGTATTTCTCTGATCCATTTGGAGTTTAGAAATGGATCCAATTTTATCTGTTTGTCAGACTCTTTTTTATTTTACCTTATGCCTTCTATTTCAACAATCATTATTTGCTAATTTCATCACCATATTCTAAACAATTATTTGAACTTAATTTTTGTTTTGTTATTTATTCCTTTTTTTTGAGTCCAGTGTCTTTCCCTTCATTACCTTTACTTGCCTTTCCATTTGAGCAATTTGTCTGTGAATGGAATTCTAGATTCATAAACTTTTTCCACTAGGTGCAGAGAAATAGGATAAGCACTTCATAATGCATTTCTCTGAACTTCCTGTATTGCTGAACATAAATGCCAACCTCATGACTGTCACCTATAATTCCCCATATTATTTGAGCCACATAGGTAATTTAAACTTTCTAGTAGCCACATTTAAGGTTTGAAAAGTAACAGATGAAACCGATTTTAATGTATAGTTTATTTAACTTAACTATCAAAAATATTATCATTTAATCATGTAATCAATATAGCAATTATTAATTAAATATTTTCTATTATTTTTATTGTGGTAAGTCTTCAGAATCCAGTGTCTATTTGATGCTTACTGCACATCTTAATTCACAGCCACAGTTCCAGTGCTTAGTAAACACATTTGACTAGTGGCTACCACATTGGACAGTGCATCCCAGAATGATCTAGCCCCCATTGCTTCTTTGACATGATTTTTATGACCATCCCTCTCTCTCATTTCCCTTCAGCCACACTGGCCTCCTTGCTAATCCTTAAATATACCAAGCATGTTCCTGTGTCAGGGCCCATGTACCCACTCTCCCCTCTTCCTGGAATGTCCTCCCCAGAATCTGTCCATGGCTTATTACTCACCCCCTGTGGTCTCTGATCAAACATCATGTAATAAAGGAGCTGTCCTGATAGCCTATATAAAACACCACCCACCCTGACATATTTTGTGTTTATATCTATTAATCATCCATCTCTTCTACCAGGCTACAAGATCCATAAAGGCAGGGAGCTTGTCTGCTGTGATTCCTGCTGTATTCTTCATGTTTAGAAATGTGTTTAGCGCAATGGATATTTGTTTATGATTCTGCACACCCTCCCTGTTGAGTAGGTTCTGTAATTCTACATCCATAATTGGGTACATGAGCCTCTGAGAGTCAGTAAAGTGAGAGATGGGTGATGTACCCAAGGTCACACAGCTTGTGGGTTGCAGTCAGGGCTTAATCCAAAATCTAAGGTTTTCACCAGCACATTGGAAGCTTTGCCTCAGTGCGGAGTCTGGGCCTAGCTGCTCTCTATATGTGATCCTGAATGCCTGTGTGGCTCAGCCTTGCTCCTGTCCTTGCTGCTCTGTGCTTCACCTGTTTTTTAAAGAGTCTTCTTTTGCCTGCAGTGAACTGTGGGTTCTAGCAGGCTTTTCATATAGTGGGTTCCATTTGGTTCATGTTATCAAAAAATCCTCATCAATTCTACTCTGTTGACTATACCATATGGTTCTTAAAGGCAGCAGCAGGCCTTTTGGCTTATTTTAATAGGCCATTGGCAGTCAGTGGGCTTTTGGAAACTGTGGAGCATAAAGGCTAAAACAATCAATTTCCCTTGGCCTTGGAGCATCCCATTTCTCACCTGTTACATTCAGTCTCCTGCAGATAGACAGGCTGAGTTCACTGTCCTCTAGACTGTGTGCAGCACTGCACATCTGGGTGTGCGTGTTTATGTGGCTCTTTTAGATCTTTTCTTTCTAATTCTGATATTTAACAACTACCTTAAGAGTGACTACAGAGTGACTACACTTAATTTCCCCACCTTATGTTCTCTCTAAGTTACTCAGGACATATTGTTTCTAATCCAGTCTCTTACCCCTTCTAATAACAGAAACAACTATATATTGAAGTTTTATTGATATGTCCCAGGGATAGATCAAAAAAGTGCTTTTGGCATGTCATCGTATTTAATTCTCACAATAAGATTTTCTCATTGCCCCCTACAAGCTTTGCATGTGAGAACAAACAACACTATTTAAGAAACATGATCCATATCCCTCAGGTGTAATGTCATCAGTCTTCAGGAAACAACTTCCCCTAGTGCATAGCCTGGGTGGACCCACCTCTCATTTATCCATTAAACATGAAAATCTTTTGTGCACCTCTTGGGTGCAAAATGCTATCTTAAGCATTTTTTTGCAACTAAAAAAATATCAGATTCAATAGAGTTTTCAAATATAGCTGTGGTCCTGACTACAAGTTTTTTGTTGTTGACTTGTTTGTGTGTCTGAGCTGATGTGCTTCTCTGGGTGGGGACTCATCATAGGAAATTCTCAATTTTCACAGATAATTGATTGGGGCAGCTATATGCATTTCAGAAGGATTCTTTATTTTATGGAAGTATTCTCAATAATAGTTCTTTAAATAACAGGTTTTCCCTTGATCATTTAAAATACAAAGAAATTGGAAGCTTTTATACCAAATTTTCCAGAAGCAAGGTCAATTTGGAAGCTAGTTTACACCTATAACAATTCACAATAAAGACAAGAGCTGACCTCAGTAGGGCCTCTATCAGACCATTAGTTTAGAGACAAAAATATCAGGCCTAGCATCTGCAGTTTTTGGTGAATATCAAGATTTATTTTCCCGGGAGGCCAGCATTGACCTCAGTCTCAGTTTGGTCGATATTTATCTCTTAGATCAATAGGTCTTGATGGTAGCTCAAACAAAAGTCAATAGCCACCTGTTGACTCACACAAAGTTAGTGGATAATTTAGAAAATAATTTGGAGACATCTTATTTTGGGGGACCTGGTACCAATTTAGGTGTCTAATTTTGTAATGGTTCCATGTTGCCCCAATCTCTGTAACACAGTGCTTCCTGCTGTGATCCTAGGCCACAGAGCTCCCCAGCCCCTCTGTCTAGAAACCAATCTGACAACCTCCACTGACTTATTGACAAGAAGTGGGAAGGCTCACAGGGAAAGCCTCCATTTATTGGGCGCCTATTGTGTGCCAGCTGCCGCATTAGGTGATTTATAGGCTCTGGGTGAAAAGCACGTATCTTTATGTCTGCAATCCCCAAGCCGTTAACAAGTGGGAATCTTTTCTTAGGTTTCCAAGACAACATTGCATTTTGCAAGAAGTGTGTACACTAGACATTAACAGTAGTCAGAAGTTTTTAAAAAATAGTAGGACAAAAGAAGAAAAGGGTGAGGCCAGGCATGGTGGCTCATGCCTGTAATCCCAGCAATTTGGGAGGCCGAGGCAGGCTGATCACCTGAAGTCAGGAGTTTGAGACTCGCCCGGCCAATATCGTGAAACCTCGTCTCCTCAAAAATTACAAAAAAAATTAGCCGGGCATGGTGGCACATGCCTGTAATCCCAGCTACTTAGGAGGCTGAGGCAGGAGAATCGCTTGAACCCGGGAAATGGAGGTTGCAATGAGCCGAGATCACACCACTGCACTACAGCCTAGGTGACAGAGTGAGACTGTGTCTCAAAAAAAAAGAAGAAAGTGAGAAAAGCATTTTAGACATTTTAAAATCAAGGTATCAAAACTGCTTTTCCTTTTTTTAAAACAAAACAACCAAACACAACAACCTGCTTTCAAAGTTCTGCTAATCAGATAATGAGGCCACATGGATCACACAGGCGCTTTCTGTCTGACACTGTGACCAGTTTGTCTAATAAACATTTACAATTCCCATATATCAGTGCTCCCTCATCCCCTTGGGGTGAGGCATTGGCCCAAGCATCCCTTGAAGCCTCCTGGGGCCGTAGGAGCTAAATGCCCTGCAGCAAAGCTTCGGAAGCCTTGGAGCTGATTCACACACTTCCAGGAAAAGCTGTCATTACTTCCTTGTTTCAGAAGACACTGAGAAAGCCAGAAGTACATTTGATTTATTTTTATTGCTTTCTGTCAGTTATTGATTCAGAGGCCAAGTAGCGGAACTTTTCTATGATGCGGAAGGAAAACCTCAGAGTTAAAGGAAAAACAGCCGCAGGACACAGGACTGTTACCTGAATGGGGAAGGAGGGCAGTCAGCATCTCAACATTAACTGGAAGGTGGCAAGTGTCAACCTTGGAGTTGAATGAACTTGGATAGGCTCTTCCATGCCTCGTCATCAACCATGCCCTCCTCCACAATGGGTCACCCACACCTCATCTGCAAGTCCTCCTTCTCCATAATGAAGCCCTAGGGTAGCTGAGGGGGTCAGGCCACCCCTGTTCTCTAGGGAGAAAATGATCTCTGTGAGCCAGCCCCAGACGAAAGACATAGAAAACCAGGAGCACCACAGGCTTAATCACTGCACGTTTCCCAGGGAAGCGCTTGCATCCTGTCTTCTCACTCCAATCCATCCTCTGCGTGGCTACCGGGGGATTTTTCTAAAACACAGCTTCATCTGTGTCATTTCCCTGCGTAAATGGCTCCCTCTCGCCTCCAGGATGAGGCGGCTTCCTGTGAGTAGCGGCTGGCTCTTGTCATAATCTGCCTGCGCTCCCTCAGGCCCACCCCACCCAGGACCCTCATCCTGCTGAGACCCCAATTGGTCTAGGTCCTCTGTCCTCACCTACGCCTGCCTCATCCTCCCGCAGAGCTGCTGCTCAGCTCTAAGATGTGGCTCACTCACCACCTTCTTTTTGAGGCCTCCTCCCCTCTGCCCCCCACTTCTCTGGAATCTAGGTTGGCCTAGGCATCTGAGTAAGTTGTGCCTGTTCACGTCAGTGACCTGCTTGTAGACAGCTCTTGGGGCACTTTTCGGTTCCTCTGTCCTGGATGCCCCCTCATGGTCCGCCCACCTTTGTACTTGCAGGTGGTCCTGAGAGGCCTGGGCCCTCTGGTTGACTGCTTTTACCCCTGGCTGTTGCTCCTCCACAGGTGGTCAGGCTGCCTCCCCCTCCTCCACTGTCCTAGAATGTTGGCTTCTCTTGGGCTGTCTTCTCCTTGACATTCACAGGCACAGCAGCCATCTGTGCAGCCCATTGGTCCCCTAACGGGGGTCCTCAAGCCAATTTCAGAACAACCCTTCTGACTGTTGACCAGACACTCCCCTGGAGGGCCCACAGGCACCTCAAATCCGCCATGACATAAGCACACACGGAGCTCATGGCCTGCCCCACACCTCAGTGTGCATGGGATATCCCGCCTTAGCCCATGGCATTCCCATCCAGAAGCTAAATCGTGGTAAAATACACATAACAGCAAACGTACTATCTTCATCATTTTTAAGTGTACAATTCAGTCATGTGAAACACTCCCACTGTGGTGTGGTCAATCTCCAATGCTCTTTTCATCTTGCAAAACTGAAACTCTGTACTCAAGAAACACCCCCCACTCCCACCCAGCCAGCCCCTAGCTTCCACCATTCTACTTTCTGTCTCAATGAATTTGACTGCTTTAGCAACCTCATAGAAGTGGAATCATGCAGTATTTGTCCTTTTGTGACTGGCTTATTTTGCTTAGCATAATGTCCTTATTCATCCACGTTGCTGTGTGTGTGAGAATTTTCATTCTTCTTAAGGCCTAATAATATTCTATTGTAAGTATATACCACATTTTTTGTATCCATTTATCCCTTGCTGGACAACGGAGTTGCTTCCATCTTTTGGCTGTTGTGACTAATGCTGACGTGACCATGGTGTACAAATATCTGTTTGAGTTCTTGCTTTTAATTATTTTGGTTATATACCCAGAAGGGGGATTGCTGGATCAGATGGTAATGGCATTTTTAGTTTTTTGAGAAACTGCTACACTGTTTTCCAAATCAGCTGCACCATTTTACATTCCTACAAAGAGCACACAGGGTTTCAATTTCTTCATATCCTCACCAACACTTGTTGGTTTCCTTTTTTTTTTCTTTGATAGTAGCTATCCTAATGGGTGTGAGGTGGTATCTCATTGTGGTTTTGATTTGCATTTCCCTAATGAGTGATGTTGAGCATCTTTTTATGTTCTTGTCAGCCATTTGTCTATCTTTGGAGAAATGGCTATTCAAGTCCATTGACCATTTTTAAAAAAAGAGATTGTTTGATTTTTTGTTGTTGCTGAATTGTAGGAGTTCTTTATATATTGTGAATTTTAATTCCACATCAGTTACATAATTTGCCAAAATTTTCACCTGTCCTGTAGTGACTTTTTCATTCTGTTAATTGTGTCCCTTGATTCCCAGAAGCTTTAAATTTACATGGGAACTGGTTTTAAAGTCAGGGAGAACTGGTCTTACCCCTAATGATATCCTCAGCAGGGAACCTGGAGTCACTAGAGCGCCCCTTTGGCCAATGTATATGGAGTGAATGATGAATAATGTTTGCGTGGGAGGATCTGTGGTTGGAACTTAGTCTGAGTCCTCCCTGCTCCAATTGTGGGCCAGAAGGCCAGGCACTGCCTGGGAGCTTGTTGGAAAAGTAGAATCTCCGGCCCTGACTCAGACCTACTGAAGTGGAACCTGCAATTAACGAGGTCCCAGATGAATATGATAAACAGTAAAGTTTGAGAAGTGTGGCTCTGACTAACTTTTCAGACTAAGTAGGCACCTCTGGTGGGGTCGACGCTATCAGGATCCAGAGCCGCTGCCACCCACCTCCAGAGAGGACTCTGCTTTCACTTTAGTAAGACAGGTCAGCCCCCTGGGGAGAAAGGGAGTTGTTTTATCTGTCAACAAGGAGAAAACTAAATATGAGAATTCTAAAAGTCCTTGTGACTCTCCCTAATTCCTGCAAACCTTTCCAGAACAGCTCATCCGTATGTCAACCAGGTATATGTAGCCTTGCCCCATGATCTCCTAGTGTAGCACTTGGCCAGGTGACCAAGACTTACTTGCCTGTGATTCCCTCAAGCTTACAGTCCACAGTAAGCCTCCCTCTTCTCACAGAAACCCAAAGATTAGAATGCTCAAAATGGACAGAAAGGAAGTAGTTCATTCATCCTTGTTCAGAGGGACCCTGCCGTAGGAACCTGCCTCCTCCATAGCGCTGTTGAAAACCATAGTGTGGCCAGCCCAGGGCTGAGATGCCCTGCCTTGTTCCACATCTGCTGGGTGTTGGGAAGAAGTTTCTTCCCCCGGCCCTAGTTTTCACCATTGAGAATGTACTGCCAGGGCCAAAAAAGAATCTGTCTCTTATCAGTAGCAGAAAAGGACTTTGAAGCACATTAGAAAGCAGTGATAGAATTCTGAGAGGATTTTAATAATAACCCAAATCCCAGCAAAATTATTTCCAGAGGACATGCATTTCAGGTTTCTTGAAGGATGTTTATAATAAGCCAGAGAATTTCTCTTGTTGTCGTTAATGTGCTAGAACTGGTTTCAGTTAAATTTTACATGAAAAGGATATATTAACCTGCATAAAATATGTTCATAATCTCGATTTAAAATTAAAAAGAAGAAAAAAAGCCACAACCACATGTACAATATATTGCCCCAAGTAAAAGCCTTGGGAAAAAAATACAAACTTTGCTTGTACCACGCTAGTACCATTTTTGCAGAGATAAAATTTCTATGCTCCCCTAGGTACACATGCACAGCCCATTATTGTTGCGGGGAGTTATGTATGTCAGCTGGAGGGAAGAACGGATGCTGAGGCTTCAGAAGGGATGGGCGTGCGGAAAACAGAAGCCATTTGCTTTCATGGCTTCCTCCAGTCTAGAGAGAGCAGGTATCTCGGCGTTCGGTAAGCTGGATGTGATCAAGATCATATCTCTCCCACACTGGAAGTGAGAATATCCTGTATCAGGAAGTCTGTTAACCTTGACACAGGGCTGTCTTTTCCCTGCAGGCCACACAGTTAGTGCCAAGGCCCCTCTACTGCCTGCCCCTGCCAACACTTGCCTAGCAAGAACCAGGTCACGTGCTTCTCAGCTGTGTCAGAGACCAATAGAAATTCACTGGGGCTCCAATTTTGTTGAAGGTGGGCTAAGTGACACAGTTACTTTCAAGGAGTCTTTATTTATTTATTATTTTTTTTGATATAGAGTCTTGCTCTATTGCCCAGGCTGGAGTGCAATGGCAACCGTAGCTCACTATAGCCTCAAACTCCTGGGCTCAACTGATCCTCCTGCCTCAGCCTCCCAAGTAGCTGGTACCACAGGCATGTGCCACCACATCTAACTTTTTTTTTTTTTTTTTTTTTTGTGGAGCTGGGATCTCGCTATGTGCCCAGGCTGGTCTCAAACTCCTGGCCTCAAGCAATCCTCTCACTTTGGCCTCCCAAAGTGCTAGGATTACAGGTGTGAGCCACTGCACCTGGCCTCAAGAAATGTTTTAAAACTGGGGAGCTCCTTAAGCTCTCCTTAGGCCTCCCTTTTGGGAGACAAAGGGAATCCTACTGCAGATTGCTACCAACAGAGTTGTCCCCACTTTGTTCTAGAAGGGTAATGTGGCTTTGTGCTTTGAGAAGGAACTTGACTTTGGAATTGGCCCCCTCAGGACTATGTGCTTCTCCTGTTTAATGCATCACTGATTCATTCACATTGCTTTCCCAGTCTTCTATTTATTCATTCCCCAATAATTGTTGAGCGCTGATAGGCAGGGGGCAAGGTGCCAGAGAGGTGGGAGCATGAGCCTGGGAGTCACCTGACCAAGGTGAGCAGGTGCAGGGAGATGTGCTGGGCTGGAGGATGGCCTAGGCAGGAGGCAGGCCTGCACATCCAGCAGGCCAGCCCATGGGTGGCCTTTCCTGGTTGTGCAGTCCACCCTGGTCCCAGGTGTCATGGTGCGGCTCCACTCTGGGGCACGCTGTCCCCACGTGCCTGCAGAGACTGTCCCTCCCTGCAGAGCAGTAGCTTGTTTTCCATCTCAGCGTGGCTGATTTGCTGCCGTTATTGGGCACTTCATTTCTGAGATCATTGCACTGCTGGGAAATATTTTTAAAAACTTTTTCTCTGCATTTTATTTTTGAAATCTCATGAAACAATATCATTTCTGCTCACATTTTTAAAGCCTATTTCATTTAAAACTTCAGTTTTGAGCACAGAGTACCTCAGAGTTATTAAAAGACTTTTTCAGTCCTACATGGAGAATACTAGAAATAAAGTGCCATTTTGGAAAGAAAGAAAAACATCACCGTCTCAAAAAAAAATAATAAAGAAAAGAAAAGAAAAACATCATCAACATATCTGTAACATCAAGCTAGGCACCCAAAATATCAAGAAGAAAATTTCTATGTAAAATTCTGAGTTTGCAATAAACTTATGGTGCATTTAAGGAGATTTTTTTTCCTAGCCAGAATCAATTCTAATTTATTATTATAACTTCTTAAAATTAAATTTATGAATTTCCAACGAGCACATGTGATCACCAAAAGACAATAAGACATAGCCTCATAAATTTATCGTGAGAGTGTTCATAGAAAGATGAAGAATAAAAATTGTTAGTTCAGTCATATGTGCCCATTGCCGACATTGCATGCAACATGAATTTAACAAATAATCAGGCATACCTACTGCTATTTTAGATTTGGTTTTAATGCTTGGTTTGTGCCCTGTACATCATGTCTATGACCTAACACTACTGTGATGATGATGATAGTATTGATGATGGTACTGATGATGGTGATGATAGTGGTGATAATGATGATGGTGATAGTGATGGTGATGATGGTGATGATGGTGGTGATAATGGTAGTGATGATGATGACGGTGATGGTAATGGTGATGATGCTGATGATGATGGTGGTAGTGATGGTAATAATGGTGATGATAATGGTAATGATGGTGATGACAGTGATGGTAATAATAATGGTAATATTGATGATGATAGTGATGATGATGGTGTTGGTAATAATGGTGATGATGATGGTAATGGTGATGATGGTGATGATGATGGTGATTATGGTGGTGATAATGGTAATGGTGATAATGATGGTAGTGATGATGAAGAGGATGGTGATGATGATGGTGGTGATGGCGGTGGTAATAATGATGATAATGATAATGCTCACCCTTCCATGGCACTTCCCACATGCAGACACTGTTCCAGTGCTTACCAGGAGAAGCACTCCTTTAACTTTGAGACAACTCTTATTGTCTCCATTTCACAGATGAGTTAGAGGAGGCACAGGAAGGTAAATACTAATACAAAGTCTCCCACTAGGACATGGCAGAGCTGCTCCAACCAGGCACTTGGCCACAGATCCCTGTTCTTCCCCACTGCACTCTGAGCTCTGATGCCTTTTGTCAAAAGTACTTGGTAAAGTCTGAGTCTTTGGGTTTTCAGGGTGTTTAATGTCTTGACCTCATTGGACAGTGATAGAGAAGTAGGCCGGCAATCAGAATCTCCATTTGTTAAAATAGAAAGTGAAATTATTCCTCTAAGTGGTCTCTGTCAGGAGTTTGGCATATATTCTTCTAAATTGTTTTTGTATATACAAGTGTAGATCCATATTTATTATATATTCCCAATATGTATATACAGTCCACCCACATTTAGTGTGGGTCATGGCTACAGATTCTGACAAATCCATTTCTGTGTGCCAAGTTCCCTAAAAATGGGAATGATTCTTTACACAGTGTTCACAGGTTGAATTGTTTTCTCATTAACAATATCTCAGGCACATCTTTCTACATCAGTACGTATAGATCTACCTCATTCTTTAATGACTGCAAAGTGTTACAGTATCATCATTTCTTTAACCAGTATGCAACTCTTGGCCATTTAGGTTGTTCTAATTTTTCACTCTTAGAATGGATGCTTTGGTAAACATCCTTTCACATATAACTTTATGTGAGTATTTCTGTAGGAGAGATTTTTAGAAGTGGGATCGTTATGTGAAAGTATAGCCTCATTTTTAATTTTGATAGAGTCTGCCCAATTAACTTCCTAAAGTATTTTTCTATTTTATTCTCCCACCAAAAAAAAAAAAAAGAATCAGAGTGACCACTTTCTCATACCCTCACCAATGGAAGATATCCTCTCTCTCTCTCTCTCTCTGTCTTTCTCTCTCTCTCTATTGATCTATCTTCTACCTATATTTTAAACTAGTAAGTTAAAAGCCATGTGGAGATTTTAGATGACTCCAAGCAGCAGAACCCAGGTGTTCTTGCTAGAGTGTTGTCGTGGAACCTCTAGAGAAGCTAAAAGAAAGAAAGAGTTTCATTGGAAAGAGGAGAGTGTCCCTGTCTACATTCCTGAGGCCAGGCAGATGGGGGTGGGGGTGCTAAAAGACAGTATCAGACTGGTTTTCTTTCATTTTGTCTTTTTCATTCATTCATTCAAAAATGGCTGCCTGAGTCAGATGTCTTTCTAGGAGCTGAAGTTGCAGCCAGCAGCATCCTCGAGCCTCTCTCATCCACTAAAGGGGGCACATACATTGGCACCTTGAAATTAGCTGTGGTAAGGGTAGTCACACATGAAAATCAGAAATTACTGCTCACATCAGAGCTTTCTTTCCTGTCAAGCCTGTTGTCAACATTTATCCACACGGCCCTGGATGCAGCAGTAAATAAGCTACGGAGTCACTGCCTTTGGGGAGCCCAGTGATGTGGTCAGAGGCCGGCTCTACACCAGCCATGCTGCTCACTAGCTACTGTCTGCATGCTCGCCACTTCTCCACCTTCATCTCTGCACATGTCGAATGAGGACTATAATAAGGGTAACTTCCACATAGACTAGTTGTTGTACTAAGTAAATATTAGGTGCTGTTGTCACATTCTTTAGTGGAGGAAGACAGAAGGCTACCAAATTGATGATACCTTATAATACCAAGGAGTGATATGTGCTCTGAGAGCAGTAGAACAGGGCAAGGGGAGCTGGGGGTGGGGGGCTGTATTCAATGGGGAGGACGTCACAGTTGAGCAGAGACCTGAGAGTGAGGGAATGAGACACATGGCTCTGTGGGGAGAACATCTCAGGCTGGGCTGAGAGCACAGCCTGGGCAAAGGTCCTGAAGTAGACCCTGAATGAACAGTGCCATATGGGGTGTGTCCAGGAAACACATGGAGATCCATGTGGCTGGAGCCCTGGTCAGCAAGAGGGACGTGTGGAGCAAGCCGAGGTCAGAGGCAGGCACAGGATGAGGTAATGAAGGATCAAGACCCTTATCCATGCTGATATCCTGATAAGAACTCTGGATTCAGAATGTGATGAGAAACCACTGGAGAACTGTGTGCAGGGCAGTGAGTGGCATGGTTTGACTTATTATTTAGAAGGATTGTCTTTCCTACCAAAAAATAAAATAAAATAGCCAGATGTGTTTGGCCCTGGCCTGAGACACAGTGGTGTTCATTAGCGTTTAGCACATATACTTTCCAAAACGTCTCAAAGTGTTTTCTTCTTTCTACCTGTAAATATTTCAAAGCAACGGACTGTTTAAACAATACTTGTTTATCATCTATAATGTAAATAGTAGCAATAGTAATAATCAAACACTTGTATAGCATTTACTGTATGCCTACCAGGTATTTTTTCAAGCACATTACATGTTTTTATGCATTTAATCCTCAAAATAACTCTATTGGATAGTTACTATTATGAGTCCCACTTTGTAGATAAGGAAATGGAGGAATAAAGAGGTGAAGTACCTCGTCCGAGGTCACACAGCTAGTAAATGGCAGTCTTCCTGTCTCTGAGAGCACATGTTCCTAAGTAGGCCCTTGCACAATTAGATGGGTCTAGGAGAGTGTTAAAGATTGCAGTTGATCAGAATATTGAGAGTGTTCAAGTCTGCAAATTCTCAGCATGAACATCTATGTTGAAGTAGATAACCAAAGGCTCCCTTTTTTCTAAGCAAAAGCATCCTCTTGAATAGTACTGCCAGTAACAGTCCTTTGAAAGGCAGCTGGGAATTCAAACATCTATGGACCACAGGGGAGAGGAAATGAATGACCATGTTAGACCATGGAGCAGTTGCTGTGAGACTTTGAAAGTTCCAGGTATTAGGACTCTCCCCAAGAACACTGTCTATAATCACATTTTAGCTTCCAAAACATATGTTGGTGACATTGACAGGCATCTGTCTGTCTGATAACTTGTAGAAACTTGAACGAATAATATTTGGCCTTGGGTCTTTCTATGCCAGATTTAGCAGGCTCCCGAAGGGGTCACCTCTGCCTGTCCTTGAAGCAGTTAGGTGGTGACTTTCTGTCATGTCAAATCCATTCTGAGGACGCACTTTGCTGAACATCCTGTGTACTTTTTGGACTCAAGGACCTGAGGCGAATTTGCTCTGCTCATGATTTCTGAGTGAGTTCGTCCAACCCAAAGTGCACGTCTTCATATCCATCCAAGACTTCTCTCCTGAGCTCCAGACTTTTCCAGTCCTCCCACTGTCCTAGAGCATGCTGGGTGACTGGCTCTCAGTCCCTGGGTGACCATGCAGAGGTGGGGTGGAGGGGGAATCTGGCCAGATATGATCTCAAGGCTCATTTATACCTGAAGCTGCAGAGTAGGTGGGGCGTTTGGTGCCTCCGAGAGTGCCTAGGCCCCATGTGTCTCTGGACCCTGGGTCAAGGCACACCTAAGTCAGCAGTCACAGCAGAATGCTGGATTTGGGAGTGCAACTGGATTCCAGCCCTCACATCTGAGTGAAGACCTACTATGAGTTATGCTGCTAGAGCCAGAGGTCCCAGTGGACCAGTGGCCTCCGCTCCAAGGAGATGGTGAGAGTAGACCTGGTGGTGGCTCTAACGGTTACCTCTGAAAATGCCCCTGGACGTCTTCAGTAGCCATTGGATACTCAGCTGCATATTTTCACCTATCCAGCAGACAGCTCTGCTCAGGGGTCTGCTGCCACCCCACACACAGCCTGGCCCAAGCAGAGCCTTGCAGCCTTGTGGCTGCATCCCATGCCACCCAGAGGTACACTGGGAACCTGGGGGTGAGGCTGTAGAGAGGGGTGCGGGGCCCCCTGGAGGTGTTCCAGTGAGATTCTTTCTTTCCCCTCCATCACCCTCTCCCACCAGGGACAGCTCCATGTTTCTATCTTTGGGAAGTCTTGGGTTCTGTGGCCTCAAGTCTTCTGTTTCTCCACACCAAGCCAGGGCTCCTGCCTCTGATGAGGATGGGGCCAGTTCCCTTCTCCCCCAACTTCCCCTTTAGTTGGAGCTCATACTGCCTACTGAGTGGTGTGGGATTGTTCCAAAACCTCAAACAATTCATGCCAAGGGCTTTTCACTATTTTCCCTGTTGGCATCCCAGGCCTACTTCTTGGGAAGGGACTGCTGTCTGCCTGTCTGCTCACCTGGATACAAGGCATTCACATCAGAGCATAGACTCTGCCTCTGAGCATGCATTTGCGATGCCTGGGACTGCCCACGAGCATCTGGGAAGGACTGACTGGCTCTGAATCCAGACACCACCTGTAATCCAGACTCCATAATCACTGGCCCTGCCTCACAGTGCTGGCATGAGGATGGAGCGAGATGGTGAAAATTAGTGTTTTCTGAGTTCTGTTCTCAGAAGGACCAATTCTCAGCCACCACACTCTGCTACCTCCCAAAGCCACTTCTGGATTATGTCCTTTGTTTTGGAAAGACATTTCTTTTGTTTCTTTATTTTTATTTAACATATACACCATAGAACTCTATATTCTCTTTTCATAATAGATTTAAATAAATTTGCCAATCAGCACCCATGGTACTTGAGATTAAGTCAAGTTCATATCCAAGGCATGTCGATGATAGTAGGACTGATAAGCTTCACAGCATACTTTACTCTCCTGAGTTGGGTACTATGGAGACCCATTGAGGAGACCCTCTGTCAAATAGAGCTTTCTGAATGCACAGCCTCAAGCTCCTTGGTGGCTATAGTTGTATGTGCAGTGGCTGTTGTTAGGGGAGAGTTTGTTTTACAAGTTACTCCATTGAATAAAAAATGAGCACTTATCTTGCAGGTAGAAGAGGAAGTCTGCCCCTGATAATTTGTAATTCTCTCATGGGTAAATAGATTCCTGATAGTGCAGCTCTGTGGAGCTGCAGTCACATTTTTAAACTCTAAGATGACGTTAACATAAACATTCCATGTCCCAGTTATTGATCTGTTGCTGTGATAATGGTATTACCCAATTGAACTTTTGATGTTGAGAGAACTTGCAGAGGCTGCAATTGCATTTTTCTTTTATTACCGTGACTTAATTCAAGTTACACATCCAACTGTGATCTCTGTGAAAAAGTGTTGTTTTGCAGGAGTCTGCATAAGAGAATGCTAAACCTCTCTTAGTAAGAATGTTAAGTTCCAGCCTGAATCATGGAAAGACACCTACAAAATGATATACTCAGAAACTATCCATTAAGAGCTTAAAGTGTGTTATCTTCCAGAAAGGTGCACAACCTCAGAATTCCTTGAGGTTGACTTTTCTCTCAGTAGCCAAATCAAATAGTTCTTCCCCATGGACATACTTTCCATGATTATCACCCTCAAACTGGGGGAAAAGGGGCTTGCATTAGAGGTGGGAGATTCAGCCCAGAGGCTGCTACCTGCTGTTATAGTACCTCATTGTTGGCAGAACAGAAGGCTAGACAGGCCATTGCAAGCTCTGAAAACTGCAGACTCACTTTGTGATGCCCAGAGTCCAGGAAGGTTCATCACTGCATTTTAAACCTGGTCTGTGTGATCATCCTTTCCTAATGCTTCTGAGAGGAAACTGTGCTATGTAAGAATTTAATCTGGCTCAGCAGCTATCCAGGAGCACTTGAGTTCAAGTCTAGGATGGGAAAGTTCCTTAAGCATAAGGGAAAGGTAATTACTGTGCTACTGACACCTAGAACAATGGCTAAAAGAAAAAAAAGCGCTGACAAGGATGTGGAGCAATTGAAACGCTCATGCTTTGCAGGTGGGAGGGCAAAATGGTCCACCCTGGACAAATAGGCAGTTTCTTACAAAGTTAAACATAACTTGCCATGTGGCCTAGCAAACCCACTCCTGGGTATTTACTCTGGAGGCATGAAAACATCACACAAAAACCTATATTTGAACGTTTATAACAACTCTATAACCACTAAAAACTTGGAACAACCCACAAGTCATCCAGCAGGTGAGTGGATGGCTAGCTACAGCATGTGGAATACTCTTTACCAACAGAGAGGAGCAGACAATCGTTGCTTGCAACAACTGGGATAAATCTTCAGGGAATTATGCTCAGTAAAAAAAGCCAATCCCAGAAGGTTACACACTGTATGATTCTTTGTACATCACCTTTTCTAAGAGACAAAACATAGTGGCAGAAGACAGATCTGTGGTTGCCAGGGGTCGGGCTGGAGGGAAGGTGGGACTGCAGAGGGGTGGCATGCAGGGGTGATGGAACTGTCCTGAGACCTGACTGTGGCAGTGGTTACAGACATCTATACCTGTGTTACAATTCTTAGAACTGGGCACCTCAAAACTCAATTTTACCCCATGTCATTTAAAACAAATAAAATAAAATTTTGAGAAACCTCCATTATGTCATCGGAGACACAGCAGGAGGCATGAGTGGAACTGTAATCCTAGGGCTGAGTCTGTGGACACATGTTGGTGAACATGCCTGCAGCGTGGGGGGCCTGGCACACATTTGAGAACATAGCTCAGAAACATGCATGCTTAGAGCATTCTTAGATGTTACTTGTATAAATGAATGAGTTGGTCATTAGTTTGTTGTAAAATGCCTTCCTTCACTGGCCAGGGAGCAGTTCTGTGATGGTGATCATGGTCATTAGAGAGGGCGAGGCAGAATCCCAGTAGCTCGCTGTGCAGGGTCAGAGGAAATCACAGGTGCAGTGAGTGCAGGAGAGTGTGGCCGCCAATGGCATCAGTGTCAGGGCATTCAGAGGGCCTGGTGGGTTTTGAAGGAGTAGGGGTCCACCTTGTGTGTGACAGGCAAGAGTTTCATGCGGAGGGGATCAACTTAAACAGAAACCTGTACTCCCCTGTTAGAGAAGTTTCAGGGAGGAGCCTGGAAAGAGGACTGAGCAGATCACATGGCTCTTTTGCATCCGTAGTGTAAGGCTTGGTACTTTCAGCAGTCACAGGATGTGCAATGTAAAGAAACGCCTTCCCTCAGGGTTTTGCAACCTGTGGCCTTCATTGCTAGAGAACCCAGGTCAGAAACATCCCTGAGTCAGGTAGCAGCGGGTTCCTCTGCTGTGAGGGAATAAATCTTCTGGCCCAGCCCTGCCCCTGTCAACACCCACATCCTGAGCCCCACCATCCTCTCCCACCATGAGCTGGGCCCTCTTTTTCCACACGGAGGGCAGCAGGCAGCAGGCTGCCACCATGGCAGGGTGGCACCCAGAGATGAAACGCCACCACCTCCCAACATCTGGTCACTTCTGCTTAGCCCTGGGAGTGTGACTTCCCAAAGCCTTGGTTTATTTTATGTATTTCACTTTATCTTGAAACAGATTGGTTTTTATTTGTGTTTTAGGACAAGATATCTGGGCATAGTCCAGGGCCACTGCCCATCTATATGGCACCTTTAGGTAGATTACAAAAAGGCACCTATCTTAATAGACATATTATAGAAGAGCTTCCCATCATGGTGGGAACAACTCTTGCCCCACAGAATGTCTTGGGAGAGCTGAGCATGGGGTGAATTTCAACTCTCAGTCACTTAAACCTGGAGACCCTGGGTAGACCCAGGGCCAATCCAGTGGTTCATTGAGGCGGCAGACACTAGGCTCCTCGGTCTGTTTTCTCTACCATCTTGAGCAGGTTGGCCTTGGTTTTCATTCATGTTGCCTCTCTGTCTTAAGATCTAGTTTGTTTTTCCCTGGAAGAAGTGAGGCTGTGCCCAGGGAAGTCCGAGCACGCAGACCTAGTATGATAGCTTCCCTGGGCAAGGAGCCCTTTCCTCTAGGATTTTTCTGTCTTCTACCTTGAAACCTCAGCCCAGTCTCTTCCTCAGGTGGGGCTGCTTCTGCATGTCATTTTGTTTCTCCTTACATCCCCAGCATGAAATGTGGCAACAAAAGAAAAGTGGCTTCAGAGAGAGCTGCAGAATGGCAGATGGAACACAGGGTTTGGGGGCAGAAACAACCTGACCCTTGGCACTCACAGCCTCTGTGTGCTCAGCTGACTGCAGGATCTGTCTCGGCCCCGGGTGCAGTTCAGAGGGCAGGAATGTCCTGCAGCTAGCCCGTGTGCCGGTCACTTGGTAGCCAGGTGCATTGCTCAGATGGAGGCAGCCACACCTGGGTGGCTTTTCTCTGTTAGCTTCCCTCCCCTGCTGGAGCCAGGTGCCCTTCATACCAGTCAGCATGGCAGTCACCATTGCCCCCTTTCCAGAAAGCTGGAGGTTTGTGTGGGCTGCCAGCAACCCAGCTAGATCTGTTGCAGCCCAGGGTCAAGGCCGAGGCCTGGCCATGGCGGGCCAGGCAGCTGGGGATGGGAGGTGTGTGTGGGGGCAGGGTGCCATGTGAGGAAGTCCTAGAGCCTTTCTCCTCCAGCCCTGCTCCTCACTGAACCAGGGGTAAATGTATCAGACCTTTGTCCCCTGCCTTGTCTCGGGGAGGGTGCTCTGCTGCTGACATAAATGCCTTAATCTCGTATATTCTCCCACCCTATCAGGTAGTTCTTCTCATCTCCCCTTCAGGAAGGCTATTTTCTTTTCTTCCATTCTCTTCTGTCCTCACCTTGACTTATGTATTCATTTGCTAGGGCTGCCATAACAAAACACCACAGTCACATAGTCAGGGCAGCTTAAAACAACAGACTTTATTCTCTCACAGTTGTGGAGGCCGGAAGTCTGAGCTCAAGGTGCTGGCAGGGTTGGTTTCTCCCAAGGCCTCTCTCTCTCAACTTGGCTTGCAGATGCCGCCTTCTCCTTGTGTCTTCATGTGGTCTTGACTCTGTGTGTGTGTCCTCATCTTCTTAGAAGAACACCAGTCAAATTGGATCAGAGCCCACCCTAATGGCCTCATTTTAACTTAATTACCTCTTTAAAAAAACCCATCTGCAAATAGAGTCACATTCTGAGGTCTTAGGAGTTAGGGCTTCAACACAGGAAATTTGGGGAACAAGATTCAGTCCATAACAACTAATTTCCTAGAATCTGTTCCTTACCTGTCAAAAGATACCCAGGGCTACTTAGTTCACAAAGTTCTTGTTAACTTATGAAGCATTCAGAACGTGCACATATGCGTGCTATTTTAGCTGACCCTAGAGAGGAGGTGATGCCACTGAAACACTGATTTGTTCAGCACACACATGTTCAGCACCTTTTATGGGGCAGCTGCTGGGCCAAAACATTACATAGACCTCATTTCAATCCTCATAATCATCCAACAAAGTAGGTATTATCTCTGAGCTCCAGTGATGGAACTGGCCCAAGGTCACACAGCTGACCTTTAAACTAAGATCCAAATTCCTCCTGCACCCATGATCTGCTGTCAGCCCCAGGACGATAGCCTCAGCCACTCTCCTCACCTCTTCTCCATGAACACTTTCATTGATCTGAGAGTTAGAAGAATTTCCCTTTATTGCAGCCTTCCTTTGATGCATCAATACGTGCGTGTATCTGACCCTCCATCCCCCCTTGCTCATAGAATCCTCCTCCAGAATTACTTGTGGATTCTCACTGGCTGGTAGTTTTCTCCCTGTCTGGTAGTTTTCTAATATGAAAAGTGAGACTAAGGGTCCATGAAACAAGGGATTTGAGACACACAAAATACCAAGCAGCTGAATACAACAAATGCCAGGCCTTTATTTGAGGAATAGAAAGAGAATCTGACCAGGAGTAACAGCAGGTTAGGTGAAATGGAAAATAAAGTAAAACCAAACAGCCCTGGGAGAGAGGAAATGGCCGAGTTGCTTCTCACATATTTAGAAAGTTCTAGGGCTTTTTCTAAAGGATTCTGCCAGGACTTCCCAGCAGCAGTTGGTTCACTCTTGCTGTCTGTTTTCCAGTGATTACAACATCTGGATATAAATGTAAAACTCGGTCCGGGTCTGAGGCCTGGAACTCCTCCTTCAAGCAGTTTCCTTGAGGCTTTCAATGGAATTTACAGTCGTTAAGAGTGTTTGTGAATAGACAGTTCAACACTGTTGAAGCTTCTATCCTGAGTTCCACAATTTGTACTAACACTCCGCAACCTTCTGTACTTCCTGCATCCCCCAGAGTAGGGTGGGGGCTTGAAGAGAGTCATTTTGAAGCCAGCGTCTATCAGGAAATTAACAGAAGTGCTTCCTCATTCATTTTTAGAGATGCTGGGAGTGATTCCCTAGCTTAAATCCAGTTTGGGCTTGTCTACTGAAGATAGCAGTAAACTTGTATCATCTGAAGTAAAGGTGAGGCTTTGCAACAGGCTCCTCGTCAGGCTGTGCCCCATTGCAACCACCTGCTTTAACCACTGCTTTCAGCTCCTGGCTCTTGGTTTTACCACCAGTTTTTTAGTTTACCTAGTCTTAGTGATGTGCCAAAAATTTTCTCTAAGCTTCTCCTCAAATGCACCTTAAACCTTCCACTGAAACATTAGTGCAAAGAAACGTAGTTTGGTGAAAACCAGTGAGGAATATGCATTTGCCCCTTTCATTGGCCATTAGGAATTTATTTCCAGTTAAACAAGCTGGGAAATGTAATTAGGCACATGGCTGATTGTGATAGCCAAGTGTGCATGCCAGAAAAACAATAGGTTCTTTAAAGATGCCAAGGACTGATATTATGCATCTTATCTTGGAAACTATACACTTCACAGTTCTGAGCCTCCTGTGAGCTGCCTCGTATCTTCAATCAAATTATTATATTCCAGAAATATGCATAAGGGAAATGATTCTACACATTTTATGGTGGGTTGTTGCTTGTAGCAGTAATTGAAGTACCTTTTCCACTTATGAAAGTACTACTTTTATTTGTTTTTATTGCTTTTCTAGATGCAATTATTTATTTAGTGTGCTTTGGCTTTATTAAATTATGTTTACTATAGGAACATCATAAAAATGTATGAAAACAACACATCAGCCAAGCCAGCCTGGTGACCTGTATTGAAAGAGCTAGTGTTATTTTTCATATCCAAACGTAATGGAATAACTTAAGAATAAACAGATAATCTACACTAGAAAACAATGCAATTTCAAGGTAATGTAATAACACACCTGGACAATATGATTTCATAAATCTTGGTGCTAAAATTTACATGAGTTGGGTTTTGTGTGCTTATTTGAGGACACATGGCATTTCTAAATGGAATCATTATAATGGGAAATGTAATTAAACTGAAAAGCGAGAATGTAAACAGGGTTTTTGTTGCTTGTAAGATATGGATGACTAAGAAGAAATGTAAAGACTTTTGGTGTCAAAAGGCAAGCAGAAGGCTCCCATCCCTATAAATGATCTTAACTTTGAAATTGAAAAATTGCTAGACAATTCGTCTAGGTCACTTGGCAGTCACCCCCAGCAGAGGTGCTGGCTTGAAGAACTCTTTGTAACTCTCCTTGTCTATTACTTCCCGTGCCTTTTTGGGGTGCATCATCTCAAAAGAAAAGAAGTGTTTTGCTTTTGGCATTCTTTTTAAGAAACTTAAATTGAATGAAGGTGGTTTAGTTGTTTGGAATTTCCACCAGATAACCAGGAAATAGGCATACAAACTTTTTTTAAAAAGTCCATCAAACAACAACAAAACCAAAGCCAAAACCAAAAAACCCTAAGTCTGACATCCTTATAAAGAGCAGAGGTGCTTAAATGAAAATGTCTGTGTGACTATAAATTCATGACCAACTTTTATTTTTTTAATTATGGGTTAAAATTAATTAATGCATTGTTAAATAAAAAAAAATAAATGCATTAAAAAATGCCTACTACAAAATCCAAAAGGTAACAACAAATGTACACAGTGAAGGCTGAGTCTCCCTGCAGCTGTTCAGGTTACTTCCCTAGAAAGAGCCATGGTTAATGTGCTCTCCATTTTCTGAACGAGTGCCGAGAGTTCCCAGGATTTTCTAAGTATGTAAAATATGTACCCACATATTTACTTACATACACGCATACATGCATATTTACACAGGATATGATAGTGAAATATAAAGTACACATATAGCTCCTCCCTCATTCTTAAAGACTGCACCGTATATTGCGTTATACGAATGCCCCCATCTCCTACTGATACCTATTTAAGTGTTTACAGTTATTTGCTTGTACCAAGAAAGACTCCCACCCATAGTATAGGAGAGGACCTCTATGTTTTGTCAACCTTTTTTTTTTAATGTTTGGCAACTTGAAAGACAAATAAATGATGTCTAAGTGTGACTTTAAGTGTCGGTTTTCTGATTATGAGAGGGTGAGTATCATTTCATCTGTGTCCGAGATGCTTGCATTTTTCTTTCCCATGAACTGCTGGTCCTGTCTGTTGTCCTTTGCCAGATTTGCTAGTGGAAACTTGATTATTATCTTTGTTGAATTGCAAATCCCTTTAATATGAGATATAAATATCTTCCTCATTTTTTCAGTTTTTTTAAATTTTATTTAGAGACTGTTTTGCCATGTGTAGCATGAAAATGTACACACATCTTTTTTTCCTTTGCTCCTGGGTTTTGTGTCATATGTTAAAATTATTTCCATACTTGGAGGCTATTTTTAAAAAACTCCCCACCTATTTTGTAGTACTTTTATAGGTTTATTTTCCACATTAAAATTTTTAATTCATTTGGAATTAACCTGGGGTGAAGAATGATATAAGGATGTGATTTTTTTTTTCTCAAATGGCTGTCCAAGTATTCCAACAGCATTTATTGAAAAATAACTTTTAGGTTTAATTGTTAATATCACTAGATTTGAATAAGCAATTATTCTTTATTTTAATAATATTCCTTAATCATATTAAGAAAATATATGTCTACACCTACTTCATTCAAAAATTGTTTTAAACAAAAATGTGTTTTTAATTGTATTAAGTACCTTTCTAGCATCTATAATCATATGACTTTTCTCTTTTGATCTATTACTATTATGAATTATATTAATAGACTTTTTAATATCAAACCATCTTTGCATTTCTGGAATAGAATAAACTTGAATATGATTATCTATCTTTTAATGTACTTCATTCTCTCTGAGTAAATTTAACTTAAAATTTGTATTAATAAATGATATCCTCTCTTCCTCCCTCTCTCCCTCTCTCCCTCCCTGCCTCCCTCCCTCCCTCCCTCCCTTCCTTCCTTCCTTCCTTCCTTCTTCTTTCCTTCCTTCCTTCTTCCCTCCTTCTTTCCTTCCTTCTTTTTGATGGTACATTCAGATTTCCTGGAGTTAATGTTTATAATTTCTATTTTTCTGGAACATAATGCATTTTATCCTGTATTTAAAAGTTTTTTCAGTATATTCAGCAAACTGTCTTGTTTAAGCATTTTTAAACTTCCTTCATTTTGTTTATGTCTCTTATCTTATTTTTTATTTTATTCACTTACGCTTTTTCCCTTTTTATCTTGATTAATTTATTTTTCAGTTTATCTGTTTTACTGGTGATTTATGCAGTCTGGGTTTATTTCTATGAAGTTCTTCCTTCTGCTATTCTTTATTTTATTCCTCTTTTTCTAACTGCTTGAGTTGGAGGCCTGATTTACTTAATTCATGCTATTTAGCATAAGTATTTCAGGCCATGGTTTTCTCCCAGCACTGCTTCAAACATAGGCTTTAGGTTTTGGCAAGGAATATTTTCCTTAGCATTATTTTCAAGATATTTTGAAATTATAGTTTTATACTAAGTCATTTACAAAAATTTCTAAGTGGTGGCGTTCTAGTGTTGTTATTAATTTTTAGAATTTTTTTGTTTCCATCTCCACTTTTATATTTCCCTTTTGATCAGAGACCATTAGTTACATTATTTTTACTCTTCAGCATTAAAGTTTCATTTTAGCCTTGTGTTTAGTCATTTTTTTGTGAGTGTTTCATGTCAACTTGAAAGCAAATCACAGGATCTCACTGCAGGACGTAGTGCTCTATAGAAGACAATGAGATCTATCTTATTAATTATGTTATTGGATATTATGTAGCCTCTTAAATTTCTTGTCCACTTATCCCTCGCTGAATCCCAAAATGCTATGAACATGCATACTTGATGAATGAATGTGTGATGTAGAGCTCCTGTGGTCAGCTAGAATTGTGTTTTGTTTTGTTTTTTCTTTTATAGCCAAAGATTGCTGAGGAAAACTTAACCTATGCCGAACTGGAGCTGATCAAACCCCACCGGGCTGCCAAAGGCGCCCCCACCAGCACTGTCTACGCCCAGATCCTCTTCGAGGAGAACAAGCTGTAGTACAGCGTCCACCTCCAAGGTTCTATTTAATACCTGCCACCCAGTGATTTATGAAGCCTTGGAGACAAAGCCCTTATGTCTGTATTTTCACTCATGCCTTCTGAGTGGTGGGGAGCCCCTTTTCAGCAGCATTCTGGGTGCCTTTGAAGAGGTACAAGCCTGCTCTCCCCAAAAGAATCGGGGCCACAGCTCTTGACAGATCTCCCGGGACAAGATGCGCCTGGGTTTGAGCCCTGAGCGTAAGGATTCTGATCCTGAGAGCAGCCAAGGAGATTTTCTGCTGAGCCAAACCCCTTCACATTTTTCTCCTCTTTCCCCAGGTTTTCTTTAAAATCGTTTTTAAATCTTAATTTTACTCTCTACTCTTCCTGTATCCACGATACAAGCTCACAGTATATAGCTAGAGGAAATGCCATTATGGACCCAACTGTAAGATGGCACATATGTTGGTTTTCCAAGGATCAGATGGCATTGCCAGGGCCACAGCCAACTGCTGATTGCCAGCACCACCTGAGATGGCATCTCTTGTTTTAAATAGATGCACTAACCCTGAAGATTAAGGCCAGAGGGGCAGACTGACTAGAGAAGTATAAGGTCTGTCTCTGAATGCCATGGTGCCCACCTATGAGACCCTGAGGCCGCAGGACAAGAAGAACACCATTCTAGAGGGCTTCCAGCCCTTTCACAAGGTGGACCTGTACTGATAGAGAAACACACTCTCTAAGAAGTGCTTACTCACCCTTTTCCAAAGGAGCACAGGTGTTGGCCATCAGAAGACACACTGGAGCGCATGGGCCTCTTCACTGTGTGCCAAGCTCAGTCACCTCTGATTCAGCCCCTGAAGGTGTCTGCTGCCAGGTGCCCTCAGGGTAGGAGAGTGGGAAGTACACGCCAAGCTGGAAAGTGTGTTCTGAAGACCCTCCTCTTGCCAAGTGCCTTGCCCATTGCAACCTTGTGTGTGAATTCTAATGGGTTTGAATGGGGGTCAGGGTGCATGGGGAAGTTGCTCTGTGGACCTTTGGGACACAGGAATCTTGGACTTACTGGCAGGGGATCCATTCTGAAAGCACCATCCTGTCAACTGTGTTATTGAGGACATTTCTTGATGTGAGTATAGTCTGGGTGGCTATTTACTGCCCACTATAGAAATTGTTTGACTATGTAGTGGACCATGTATATATGATAAATTATCTATTTTAAACACAGCTGGGGTATGAGTTGTGCCCTCTATATAGCTGTGTGAACTTGGCTAAATTTCTTATCCCCTAATGACCTCAGACTCCATGTTTGTGTAAAGACGACTTAACTTCCCATAGAATTCTTGAGGGTAAAATGGGATAATGAATCTTGCCAGTTCTAGAAACTGTAAATTGCTACACAAATGCTCTGTGTTGACATTCATGCTAAAGCCAGTCTGCATTTTCAAAATGAAAATTTCTTCACTATTTAAGGCTTTCATTGCAATAACTTTAAAAACCAAATATTTGTCCACCAACTTAGCCCTACAGTAATGTTCCCAAAGACTCATGAGAGTTTATGGTTTATTGGAAAGGGTCCAAATTGGAAGCAGATATTGATTTTCTGGGAGCAAACTGGTCTGCCTTTACAAAGTGGAAGTTCACCCTCTCTGGATAACACCTGTGTCTCATTCCTCCCTCTCTGCCAGATCTCGAAGGCACTGAATAAACCATGCAGCTTTTGAGGAAGAAAGAACCATTTGGAAGAACTCACTAGAACTTCTTTGAGCATCTCTTTGGGAGGGGAGGATATATGGTTAGCACACCATTTATATAATAATTATCACAGGGATTTTTAATTTTATCATGGCAGTGTTCTGACAGATGTATAGTGTTTTGAGGGCAGAGGATGATCTCCTAATTTGCCCAAAGAGCCTTATGGGTTTGTGGGGCTCTGGGGGTGCCAAATGGGAAGGAGAGGGGGCACATGAAAAGGAAATGGCGGGAAGAGGGCAACAGGCCAGGGGGTAATATCTTCCCAGGCCCCTTAGGCCTCTACAGAACGGAAATGAACTTCATTCACCCCCAAACCCACCCACTTAAATCCAAAGAGAGCTTAGGGTTATTATGCATGGACAGGAACACATTCTACCAAGAACACATGCTCTTAAGAGCTAGTAGCTCCCAGTTAGAGTCAAACCAGTCATTGTTATATTATAGATTGAATCCAGCCTCTTTCTCCCAAACTGTGGTCATCACTGCATGAATCCACACTAAGGTGTGTGAATGGGAACCTGCAGATTATCTCCTCCTACTGAAAATGCTGCCCAGGGGAATCTTGGAAGCTATGGACAGCATCCAGGCAGAGCTGGTCCCACTGTTATCTCCAGAAGCAAATGCCCAAGCTGTGCTCAGAACTGGAAGCAATGGATGACTTGTATCAGGTGCTTGTTTGAGAGGATATATTGACATTATTGCCATAGTAAGCTTAAAAAAATGTGCCCACTCATTCATTCTTTGTCCATGGACCACTAATCATGCATTGTCATTTCCAAAGATAAGGGGAAACATATCACATATCATTGAAATAGAAATTAGGGAAAGTTTGTCAATTTGTTTTCACTATAAGGCATCAATGGCAGAAACTACATATGAGTAATTTTCAAAATAGACCATTGCTTAAATGTTTAAATGAAGCTAAAAGAAGTATGAACCCATTGGTTAGAGTGCAGTGGCTTCTTTCAGGCAGACAGCAGATGCTCTCAGATTTGGTGGTGAGTTTTGGCCTTGGCATGGTTGGCATGGAGTCAGCACAGGAAGCCGGGAGGTATGAAGGGGCATCCACCTGGGTGAAACTGTCTTGCCAAGCCAAAGCCCCGAGGCCTGCCCTGAAGCAGCTGTAGTGGAGGAGAGGCCTGGGATTCCTTAGAGTCACCTTTTTACGAATGTACCGCCACTCTGTTAGCTCACAGGGAAAATAAGGAAAAGCCAGGCCTCCCACCTCTTGACTCTTGTGAGAGTGAAGACAACATGGGGCATTTAGAAAATATATTTTTAGTGTATGATAATGTGGGCTGGCCCACACAGCAATGAGCCCAAAGACCCCCTCGCTTTGGGAATTATTCATGGCCCTGCTCATCACAGCCTCTGATATGCATGACTGTAACCTAGGCTGAGCCAAGAATGGAGCTCATGCCAGAAATGGTCCTAAGCATGCACATGGCCCCCTGGAATATCAAAATCCTGGGGAGAAAGAAATCATCTTTGCCTTGGGCAGTGAAGCTGGAATGGCACATATCTATCTGTTGCCACATCTCCTGCCTAGTGGAGAAGCCTTGGAAGGCAACAGACACTGAGCAAGCAGCAGGGAGGAGAATGTCCTGGAAGGGCAGGACTCTACCCAAGTCCCTAACATCCCCAGACTCTTCTCTTCCATAAACTCTCTAATTACTCTGCTGTTTAAATCCTGGTTTTGGTCAAGCCAGTCAGGTTGCATAAAGAATATGAATACAGTATGCATCAAAGTTGCTTCCCAGAACAGGAAGCAAAACAAACAAACAAACAAACAAACAAAATACTGATATCAGTACCCAGGGTGCCCAATTAGGTCACACCCAGTGGCTGCATTGCAGCCCCTGAGCTCCTGCTGCACCGTGTGTCCTGCTGCCCGAGTGGGCCCCACCCTGGGTTCTGAAGATGCCCTTCTTAATGGAGAGCTCCCGATGGAGGGCTCCAGGACTGATGCTCTCCCTAAGGAAGGGAGGCCTCAGATTTGGAGAGGGACACCAACAGGACCAGAGGAGGACTGAGGGGCACTGGCACCAATAAGTGGAAGGGAACAGCGTGGTAACAAAAAAGAGCCATGCCACTTGCATGCTGGAGGGAGTCTTTTTGTGTCAGCCTAAAGCTTAGGCTGGTGTCCATGTGGAACATGACATCTTTCCAGTATCCCTGATCCAGGAAACTGCAGTGAGACCCAGGTGACCCAGCTCTGTGTCATTTGGAGCCCATTAAAAAGTGAGGCAGCCACATGGCGGGGACATTGACCCCACTCCAGACCACACTCCCATCTCCATACATAGGATAGAAACTGTTCATCAGGAAGGAAAACCAAACAGAAATTCGTGGTCTAGGGGAGGGGTCTGCATTCAGCATGGCCATGCTGGGCTGGAGTGGCTGTGGGGTGTCCAGATAGATGGGCATGTAGACTAGTGCTTTCTCAACCTTTAATGCATGCACAAATCATCGAGATCTTGTTAAAATGTAGATCCTGGGTGGGCACGGTGGCTCACGCCTGTAATCCCAGCACTTTGGGAGGCTGAGGCGGGCGGATCATGAGGTCAGGAGATCGAGACCATCCTGGCTAACACGGTGAAACCCTGTCTCTACTAAAAATACAAAAAATTAGCCAGGCATGGTGGTGGGTGCCTGTAGTCCCAGCTACTCGGGAGGCTGAGGCAGGAGAATGGCATGAACCCGGGAGGCGGAGCTTGCAGTGAGCCGAGATCGTGCTGCTGCACTCCAGCCTGGGCAATAGAGTGAGATTCCGTCTCAAAAAAAAAAAAAAAAAAAATGTAGATCCTGGCTCAGGAGGTCTGGGATAGGACCTGGGATTCTGAGTTTCTAACAAGCTCCCAGGGATGTCCATGCTTCTGGTCCCTGAACCACACTTTGAGTGACAAGGATGTAAACTGTTGGAAACATGGATCTGGTGCTCATTGCGGGAAAGGGGGTGTCCTCAGGGCATAGGTCACAGCCAAAGCCCTGACAGCGGGCAAGAGTCCCAGGGAGAGGCTGCCTGCACATTGAGGAGGGGAAGGGCTGGGCCTGAGCAGTGGGGAGCATCCATGCTGGCAGGTATGCAGCAGGCAAGGAGATCCAGGTGGAGATCAGAGGACAGTGACAGTCACAGCAGCAGGGGAGAGCCAGGAGAAAGCTGCTCCTAGGGGTGTCTCAAAGGAAGAAGGGATCTGCAGTGTGAACTCTGCAGAGGGCAGGGAGAATAGAGGTTAAGCCTTTGCTCATTCTGAATTAATTGATTACTGCTTTTTAAAAGTGCTTTCTTTCTCTGGGAAAAAAAAAACATTCCCCAGTGCCTAAGGCTAACAGACGTGGGCGCTGAGCTGTGTCTGGTCTGCTGAGTGTATTTTCCCCAGAGCAATCCTCATCTTCTCAGGGGGTGGGGATTTGGACAAGACTCTTCCTGAACACGCAGCGTGGTGGGGAAGGGTGGCCATGGAGGTTTTCTGTTCCTTCTGTTGTCACTGGTGAAAGACGACTTGGTGCCCAATTTCTAATAAACACAATGCTATTAGCGTCACTCCAATTTAGTGTCTGATTGTTAAATGTTAATGTACTGCACTCTACAGTTTTAAATATAATTAGAGATGTTTACAGCTTTGGTTAAATGCACCTTGTTCTTCCACATTAAACTTTATTACAAGCGTCCTCCATCAACAACGAGGAGAAAGCTCATTAGTAGGTGGTCTGTATGGGGTTCTGGGCTGTGCTGAAGGAATCAGCCTTCTGTTTTCCTTTATGACAGCTTTCTACATGCTGGGGGCGGCCAGGGTGATTACTTCCTGTTTATGTGTACACTTAGTACCTCAGACTCCTGGGTCTGTGGATGGATCTCAGGGAAGCCAACAACACCCAGGAATTTTTATGCAGACGTTTGTGTTGTGTGTGTGAGGGTCTGATGTTCTCTTCAGTTTTCTAAAAGGGGTCTGTGGTCCACAAAAGATGGAGACTTTAGAGAGGGTCCTAAGCCAGTGTCCTGGCCACAATGGACCCAGAGAACATCATGAGGAAGCTGGGCAAACTAAGGAGATGGAAAGGTACCTGCCAGCCTGGCGACCTCCCAGGCATTCTAACCCTAAAACTGCCCCTTGCACTGAGCTCTGGCTCCAGGAAGCCTCTCTGCTCCCACCCTCACTCCTGCTGGCTGGAAGAACCCTGACCTCTTGCAGGGCTGATCTTTGGCTCAGCTAAGGATTGGGGCTCCCAATCCTCCCCTTTGTGGGGTCTCCTCCATCTCTTTTCTCCCTCAGCCCATGTGTGGGTTCCCAGGTTCTCACAGTACCCCAGTTCTGAGTGCCCTGTGACTGCACCCCAGCCCATTTCATAGTCAGTTTGGAATTCCTTAAAATGTTGTAACTGAAATCAGGTTCTCCTGCTCACTGCTTGGAAGCCAAACTTGAGAGACAAGATTTAGTGGAAGGAAAAGCAGGCTTATTCAAGAGCTGGCAGCCTGAGGAGATGGCAGACTAGTGTTGCAGAGACCATCTCAAGTCAGTACAAATTCTAGGCTCTTTTTATGTTAAAGACATGACCAACAACTGCTAACATCTGGGCACCAGCGAGGGTCCAGGAAGTTGGAAACTCCTTTGTCCTTGGTCAGATCACAAAGCTCCTATAAACCTTCAACGAAACATAGTTGTTTACATACTTCTCCTTTAATCCCAGAGTCAGTTTCAAAAACTACATGATTGCTGTTTTTGCATTTTATCTCAGTGCCCTAAAATTATCCTAGCCTACGTGCAGGAATGGATAAGGGCTCCCTTAATTGAAAATGGAGTTAGTTGTGTTAGTTCTTTTGCTCTTTCATTCTTACAATGTCTTGTTCCTGCTTCCTCATTCTTCCACCTCATCAGGATTCATTTCTAGTTTCCTTGGGGTTCTCCTTTACCATGTAACCCCTCATCTTTTTTGCACATTCAACTTCTCCTTCTATCTCCAAAATGACAAGTGTTTCTCAACCTGCACAGACCCCTCCCAAGCCACTATTCTCCTCTGGTTCCTTCTCTCTGCAGCCTGGAGTCTACACTGCCTGCTCCCTGCTGTCTGTCTCTCACCCTCTGCTGGCTGCCTTTGCTCCCCCTCCCCTGAACTCAGCTCTGCCCAAGCCCTCTGGGGTTCGCTGCTGAGCATGTGTTCTCTTGCAGAGAATGTCTTATTTTCAACCACTGTTCAGCTGTATCCCGAGGACCCCACCTCCACAGCCCCCGTGGAGCCCTCTCCTGAGCTCCATGTCCACCCACGAGCTCCCCCCTTGCAGCTCCCTCATGACTCCTGGAAGTATACACCCAATACTGAATGCATCAGAGCACCCTGCATCTCTTGATACCCAGCCATCCTGGTTAGGGCTCCACCGCTCACCCCATGGCTAAAGCTGCAAATCTAGCATTGGAGATATGGGCCACCGGCAGCAGCAGTGGAATCACTGCTGACTTATTGAAAATACCAGGTGCCTGGCACTGTGGTAAGTATGTTTTCTGTCTTATCTCATTAAGCCAGTGCTACTCTATGCCAATTTGCAGATGAAGAAGCAGAAGACCTCAGCTAGCTGGCCCAGGATGGCAGAGCTGGAGCCCTCCTCTCTCCTGTCCATCTCCCCTGCATGCCGGCACCTCCCCCATTGTCTTCATTCACATAGCTCCTGCTTCCCATCAGCTCTGATCACCTCTCTCATGGACCACCACTCTGACTCCTGACCTGTTCCCTGCCATTTAACCCACCCTCCGACATGCAGACTGGCCGAGTTACCCCTGCCCAACATCCTGCCCCGACTGCCCTCAGGATGCCCAGCACCTCGAGGAGTAGCAAGGCCCTTCATACCTGGCTCCCGCCTACCTTTCTGCAGTTTCCCCTCTGTGCTGTTGACCCAGGCCTCGGTGGCTGTGAGCTGCCACCTTGGAAGCCCAGCCCAGCGTGGTGTGGAGCTTCACGGTTGCAAGAGCAGGCCTGTGCTGGGCATGAGCGTGTCCCATGGCAGTGGCAGCATTGGCCATGATCAGAGCCCGTGGTGCGCTGCAAGCAGGCCTTGGGACTGGTGAGATCCCCACAGGCAGCCAGCCACCCAGCCCTGTCTTCAGCAGCATCTGGAACCGGAAGAGCAGGAAGCCCAGGTGGGGTCCCATGCTCTCCCAACCCCAATCACCACTGACATGGCTGCTGGCTGTGATGGCAGCCCCTGTGGCAGCACAGAGCTGGCAAGTTCAATGGGAAGTGCCTCAGCCCTCAGGAGGCAAGCAGCAGGTGAGCATAATAAGGACTGACCCCAGGGATACCTGGGAAGATGCCTTCTGGGTGTTCTTTGGCACGTTAATGGAAGGACAATCAAAGAAAGGCCCTGGCCGGGGAGTGGGACTCAGGAGGCCCTCGCTGTGCAGTGGCAGATTTTATCTCCACCCCCAGGTAGCAGTGCAGGCCTTCCCAGGTGCCAGAAGATGGTGACTTGGTTTCCAGGAACATGACCTCTCTATAGGATGTCCTCACTAAAAGAGATACTAGAGGTTGTCTACTTAAACTCCCCTTTCGTTCCCCACCATTTATACAAAAGACCACGATTTAAAGGAGAGTTTAGGTAACAGAGATGCAGGGTGGGCATCAGGATCTGGACTCAGGCTTTCTCTGCCCCTTCCATAGCTCCTCATGCCCTGGCTCTTGTCTGTGGCCTCCCTGCCCAACCCTGGAGGACAGCTGAGGCCCAGCCTTCTCCAGCAGGGCTGGATGGGAGGATTCATTGGAAGGTGGCAGCTGGGCACCTCCCGCTGAAAGAAGCACAGTCAGCCATTCTGGGAGTGGGAACTGTCTCCTAGATAAGCTTAGCTCGCTCAAGGGACATTTCAGAGGTCAACGTCAGTTCCGTAAATCTTTGCTGAGCTCCTACTATGTCAGACACTGAATTCACATGGTATTCATGTGTTCACATAGAAGCACACCAATAGGCAAAACATCCTATGATGGTTACTGTTGCCAGAGTATCTTCTGCTTGCCAGACATGGTGCCAGGGACTGCATGGCAGCCCTGAAAGGCAGGTGGCATCATTGCTACAGGATAGCTCTGAGAAATGAGGCTCAGGGTCATCCTAAGAGACTTGCCAAAGGCCACACTGTTAGTTGCAGAGCTGGATTCAAACTCAGAGTTTCCCAGTACCAATCCTGTGCTCTTCCTATTATGTCATAGGAAGTATGAGTTATATCAGAACCAAAAGACATTCTGGTATAAGAACCTAATGAGAAGTAATCCCGAGGTGTCCAGGAAACTAAAAGGAGGAAGGAGTTAGGATAGACTCTCTGGAGGAAGTGTCTGTCTGAGTTGAGCCCTGGAGGAGGGGCAAGAATCTGCCAGGAGGCAGAGGGCGGGGACCTTCCTGGCCCATAAAGACCAGCCAGTAGGGCCAGCCCTGGTCAGGGAGTGGGACTCTTCTGGGGAAGCAGGCCTCTTCTGGGGAAGTGCCAGGTCCCAGAGAGCAGGAGCATTTGGCCCCTTGGTGGCCAGCCCACCTCGGGGACTGTAATAAACAGTGGACCCAGAAGCTACCTGGGAACTGAGATGGGCTGAAGGGATTTCAAGTAGTGAACAAGCGAAGAGGGCTCTGGTGGCTTCACACTGTCTCTCCAAACCAGCTCACAAGGTAGTCTTGTTCCAGGATGAGGAAACTGAGGCCATTTAGAAGTTAGAATACATGCTACAGTGAAAAGGATACTCTGGTATGCCTACGGTGTAGCCAAAAGAACAAAAAGATTAATTGCAGAGAAAGGTTCTGTGCTTTAAGTCCTCTCTAAATCCAGGCATTCTTCACACTCTCATCCCCAGTGAAGGGGTCTGGAAGGCCCAGTTACTTCTAGCTTCTATTTGTTTTTCTTGGACAGATTGGGAATCTATATGAAAATTATTGTCCCCATGGTTGATTCCAGATATCTCAGTAAAGATGGAGACAGTTGCTAATGTACAATCACCTGTTTATTTCCACCTGACCATTGACAGAACGTGACTGGCTGGAAGAGATGTCAGTGAGGTTATTCACCCAGGGTTTGGAACTTCTTGAGTTAACAGACATGGGTATGCAGAGACACTGTTTTCTTGACCCCTCAACCCTGGAGGCTTCTCCTGTCTTATCTCAATCTGGACAGCAACCACGCTACTTGAGGCTGACACCACCATCTGGGGGCAATTCCTGAAAACCTGCAGAGAGCCTTGGCTTCACCTGTCCTTCACGTGCACCTGCCCTCCATCATAGCTCCGTCATAGCTCAGCTGGGTTTTTTGTTGTTGCTGCTGTTTTTTGTTTTGTTTTGTTTTGTTTTCATCTCCTCTGCATTCTTGCACATTCTCTTCCTAATCCAACCTTGCTCCAAATCTCTCTCTGTTTTTATTTCATTCTCTGCCCCTCCCTCTCTCCCTGTCTCGTTATTCTATTTGCAAGTAAAACAATAATATGTGTCACATGCAGGCTGTAAACTAACAGAGCATTCCAAGCTGTGCTGTCTAGCTTTGGCACCAGACTCAGGACTGGATTTCCCAGCAGGGGCTTGGTGTCTGGAGTTGTTTCCCCTCACACGCCACGCCATTTGCTTTCTCTTGCTTCAGCTATGGCTTTTCTTACTGTAGGGTGAGCATTGGGTTTAGGGTCAGAAGCTCTGGTCCAAAACTCGAGTCTCCTTTTCCATGGCTCTGTGTCTTTGAGAAGCCACTTGAGCTCTCTGACCTGCAGCGTCCTCATTTGAAAAGTGGCTAGGGCCAACAGGACTGTTTACAGTCACCTTCCCATCTGGAACAAATTCGTCTCCAGGGCAGAGGGCAGGGGCGGGTGAGGATGCTGCAGGGACATGGGGGGCTGCGCCCCAGGGCCAAGCTGTCCCACAGTCCTGGAGCTGGGAGTAGTCATGCTGGGAGTTAGAGAGCCCAGGGCTGTCTCCCTCATCAGCTTGCTCTCGGTGTGGCCTGGAGATAAAACCCTCGGCTCATTAATGTCATATGACCTGTGTGAACACATGGAGCACTGTGCCCGGCACAGAGGCCGTTCCACAAGCTTCAGCTCCCGTCATTGCCGGGGACCTTCCCTGACACTGGCGATCAGTCCCCAGCTTCTAGCAGGGCTTGTCTGGCAGGGTCTTCCTTCCTTAGACTGTTCTTCCTTGGGGAACAAGGTCATTAAAGGATGGCTTTCTTCTCTCCTGGGGACAGTGAGGGCAGGCCCTGTCAGCTGGGTCACCACACTATCCCTGCCACCTGTCACAGAGCTACTACCTCACACTGCTTCTCAATACTTAGAAATACAACCAACTGCGGAGAAGGACTGGGAAGGTGCTTTGAAAATTAAAAAACAAAAACAGAAAGAAAAACAAAAACAAAACAAAAACCACAACCCGCAAGGCAGGGATTTCCTTTTTTTTCCCTATAGATTTTGTTTCTAACTAAAGGCATCCAAATTCTCTACCCCAAACCACAACATTGTCCAGAGCTTCCACAACTCAGAAAAAAAAAAAAAAAAAAAGCACTGCTATGTTTATCCTGTTGGCAGCCCCCTCTGCCAGTTTCCATCAAAGACCAGCCTGAAATAACACGCTTGTCTGGGGGTGGGGACATGGCTGAGGTGGCTGGCAGCACCCTCTGCTGTGGTGGGGCCAGGGTGGCCTTGATGGGAATTCTGAGTGTTCACACCTTGGGGCCCTGCAGAGGCTCCTTCTCTGTAAAACAAGAAAGAGCTGGCACATTTGTACAGAGAAACACTGGACCAGTGTGGACCAGGGAGCCAGCTCAGGGCTAGTCCCACACACTCAGTTCAGCTCTCCCCAGCAGCATCTAAAGGCACCCCAGGCCAGGCGTGGTGCCTCATGCCTGTAATGTCAGCACTTTGGGAGGCCGAGGTGGGTGGATCACCTGAGGTCAGGAGTTCAAGACCAGCCTGACCAATATGGTGAAACCCCATCTCTACTAAAAATAAAAAAATTAGCCGGGCATGGTGGCATGCTCCTGTAGTCCCAGCTACTCGGGAGGTTGAGGCAGGAGAATTGCTTGAACCCAGGAGGTGGAGGTTGCAGTGGGCCAAGATCACGCCACTGCACTCCAGCCTGGGCAACAGAGTGACACCCTGTCTCAGGAAAAGAAAAAAAAAAGAATAAATAAATAGAGGCACCCCAGTCAGAAAACCACAGCTAAGATCTTGGGTCTGGAGGAAATGTCCTCAACTTCCTAAGAAGAAGCCTGGCCTCAGTATCTAGATAGTTTCAGGCTACTGTGTACAGGCTTGAACTGATTTTTAAAAAGCAAAAGACAAAATTTTATTTCATCCCAGCTCTGGAGCAAGGTTGTGAGAGCCACTTATGTTTGTAAGCTGCTTATAGTTTGCAAAGTGTGTTCCTGGTATATTGTATTTTTCCCCTGAATTCAACACATACATATTTTAAGTACTCTCTCCGAGGAAGGACCAGGAGTTGGTCTAATTTCAGCCCATTCTAGGACTTCCTAGCTATTTAACGAAGGCAGGGGCGTCTCCTGCTGCCTCCTTATACCCAGACAGGCTTACCCCCTCATGCTCTTCATCCATATCAAGTTGCCTTTCATCCTCCAGTGACACCACATCACTGTCTGCCCTGCAATCTGTGATGTTCAGACAGGCTCTGTGTTTTCTTCTGAGTAACTGTGTGACTCTGCAGCTCACACACTGACATCTCGAAACAGAGAGAAGTGGAGCTTTTAAACATGCACAAGGCCAAGTCAGACCCATGCAGAACAGATGACCTTGCATCCACCCTCTGAGCGCTCCAGTACACTGCATGTGCCCCTGCCGGGTTGCCCCCACTAGGATACATGTTTCCCTGTTTTTATTTTTTGTTTGTTTGATTGTGGTAAAACTTACATAACATTTACCATTTTAACTGTTTTCAAGTGTACAGTTCAGTGGCATTAAATGCATCACATTGCTGTTCAACCACCTCTGCCATCCATCCCAGAATTTCTCCATCATCCCAAACTGAAACTGTCCCCATTAATAACTCCTCATCCCCCTCTACTCACCAGCTTCTAGGAACCACCACTCTGCTTTCTGTTTCTTTTTTTTAAAAAAATATTTTATTTTAAGTTCTGGGATACATGTGCAGGATGTGCAGGTTCGTTATACAGGTAAACATGTGCCATGGTGCTTTGCTGCACCTGTCAACCCATCACCTAGGTATTAGGCCCCGCATGCATTAGCTATTTATCCTGATGCTCTCCCTCCCGTGCCCCACTGACAGGCCTCGTTGTGTGTTCTCTTCCCTGTGTCCATGTGTTCTCATTGTTCAACTCCCACTTATGAGTGAGAACATGTGGTGTTTGGTTTTCTGTTCCTGTGTTAGTTTGCTGAGGATAATGGCTTCCAGCTTCATCCATATCCCTGCAAAAGACATGGTCTCATTCCTTTTTATGGCTGCATAGTATTCCATGGCGTATATGTGCCACATTTTCTTTATCTAGTTTATCATTGATGGGCATTTGGGTTGATTCCATGTCTTTGCTATTGTGAATAGTGCTGCAATGAACATACACGTGTATGTATCTTTACAATAGAATGGTTTTATTTCTATACATTTGCCTATTCTAAGTGCCTCATTGTAGCGAAATCAATATGGGGTTTATCTTTTTGTGCCTGGCTTATTATTTCAGTTAGAATAATGTCCTCCAGGTTCATCCATGTTGTAGCATGCATCAGAATTTCCTTCCTGTATAAGGCTGAATAATATTCCATTGGATGTACAACCACATTTTGCGCATCCATTTATTTGTGGATGGACATTTGGGTTGTTTCTGCTTTTGGCTGTTGTGAATAGTGAGGTTATGAACATGGGTGTGTAAGGACCTGTTTGAGTCCCTGCTTTCAAAGGGTGCATGTTTCCTAAGAGTCATTTCATCATAAACAGCACATGGCCTCTCATAGACCCAGTGCCCTATAAATGCAAGGGGACTTCAAAAAGTTTATGAGAAAATTGAATTTTTATATATATATATATATATATATATATATATATATATATATATACACACTTTATTTTTCAACATAAACTCCATCAACATCAAGACACTTTTGTAAATGGTGATACCAGCCATTTAATCAGCCTAAAGAACTGAAGATCCCAAGAGCTTAACCATGTCAGTGCAGTCTTTTACCTTATTAAATGAAGAAAAATGGATGCTCTTTACATATGTTTTAAGATTAGGAAAGAAAAAGAAGTCAGAAGGAGCCCAATCGTGGCTGTAAGGTGGATGCCTAATGATTTCCATCAAAGCTGTCAGAAAATTGCTCTTGTTTGATGAGAGGAATGAGCAGGAGCCCTGCCATGGTGGCAAAGGACTCTCTGGGAAGCTTTCCCGGGTGTTTTTCTGCCAAAGTTTTGTCTAACTTTCTCAACACTCTCATAATCAGCAGATGTTATTGTTCTTTGGCCCTCTAGAAAGTCAACAAGCAAAATGCCTTGAGCAACCCGCAGAACAGTTGCCATGACCTTTCCTCTTGACCCGTCCACTGTTGCTGTGACTGGTCCACTTCCACCTCTTGGTAGGTGTTGTTTTGATCATGCTTTGTCTTCAGGATCATACTGGTAAGGTCATGTTTCATATCCTGTTACGATTCTTCAAAGAAATGCTTCAGGATCTTGATCGCACTTGTTTAAAATGTTCATTGAAAACTCTGTTCTTGTCTGCTGATCACAATGGTTTTGACACCATGGAGTGGAGTGTGCTCAATTTTAATTTTTCTCAGAGTTGTATTAGCTGAGCCAGTGGAGATGTCTATGATGTTGGCTCTTGTTTCTGCTGTTAATCATTGGTCCTCTTCAACGAGGGCCCAAACGAGATGAATTTTTTTCCTCACAAACTGACGTGGATGGTCTCCTGCTGCAGGCTTCATCCTCAACATCGTTTCATCCCTTCTCAACACGAGTTATTCATTTGTTAACTGCTGATTTCCTTGGGACACTGTCCTCATAAACTTTTGTTAAAGCATTGATAATATCACCATTCTTTTACCCAAACCTCACAATAAATTTGATGTTTGTTCTTACTTCAATTTTAGCAAAATTCATGTTGTTCTCAAAGGGATTTTTTTTTCTTTTTTTTTAAAGACTGAATTATCTTTCTATTTGAGGTTGTATAATAAAATTGTTGTCACACAAAGGAGCAATCAAAGAACATACAGAAAAACATCATTTTTTATGGCTGCATAGTATTCCATGGTGTATATGTGCCACATTTTCTTAATCCAGTCTATCATTGTTGGACATTTGGGTTGGTTCCAAGTCTTTGCTATTGTGAATAGTGCCGCAATAAACATACGTGTGCATGTGTCTTTATGGCAGCATGATTTATAGTCCTTTGGGTATATAGCCAGTAATGGGATGGCTGGGTCAAATGGTATTTCTAGTTCTAGATCCCTGAGGAATCGCCACACTGACTTCCACAATGGTTCAACTAGTTTACAGTCCCACCAACAGTGTAAAAGTGTTCCTATTCCTCCACATCCTCTCCAGCACCTGTTGTTTCCTGACTTTTTAATGATTGCCATTCTAACTGGTGTGAGATGATATCTCATTGTGGTTTTGATTTGCATTTCTCTGATGGCCAGTGATGGTGAGCATTTTTTCATGTGTTTTTTGGCTGCATAAATGTCTTCTTTTGAGAAGTGTCTGTTCATGTCATTTGCCCACTTTTTGATGGGGTTGTTTGTTTTTTTCTTGTAAATTTGTTTGAGTTCATTGTAGATTCTGGATATTAGCCCTTTGTCAGATGAGTCGGTTGCAAAAATTTTCTCCCATTTTGTAGGTTGCCTGTTCACTCTGATGGTAGTTTCTTTTGCTGTGCAGAAGCTCTTTAGTTTAATTAGATCCCATTTGTCAATTTTGGCTTTTGTTGCCATTGCTTTTGGTGTTTTAGCCATGAAGTCCTTGCCCATGCCTAAGTCCTGAATGGTAATGCCTAGATTTTCTTCTAGGGTTTTTATGGTTTTAGGTCTAACATTTAAGTCTTTAATCCATCTTGAATTAATTTTTGTATAAGGTATAAGGAAGGGATCCAGTTTCAGCTTTCTGCATATGGCTAACCAGTTTTCCCAGCACCATTTATTAAATAGGGAATCGTTTTCCCATTGCTTGTTTTTCTCAGGTTTGTCAAAGATCAGATAGTTGTAGATATGTGGCATTATTTCTGAGGGCTCTGTTCTGTTCCATTGATCTATATCTCTGTTTTGGTACCAGTACCATGCTGTTTTGGTTACTGTAGCCTTGTAGTATAGTTTGAAGTCAGGTAGCGTGATGCCTCCAGCTTTGTTCTTTTGGCTTAGGATTGACTTGGCAATGCAGGCTCTTTTTTGGTGCTATATGAACTTAAAAGTAGCTTTTTCCAATTCTGTGAAGAAAGTCATTGGTAGCTTGATGGGGATGTCATTGAATCTATAAATCACCTTGGGCAGTGTGGCCATTTTCATGATATTGATTCTTCCTACCCATGAGCATGGAATGTTCTTCCATTTGTTTGTATCCTCTTTTATTTCATTGAGCAGTGGTTTTCAAACTGATGTCTGATCCTTCTTAGTGTCTCAAACTAGATGCTGTTCAAAAATGTTATAATGAGTTATTATGACTTTATTATGATGCAAAAAATTTGAAATGCATCATAGTTTTTTCATCATAAGCATTTTCTACGAGCTTTGTGAAAACCCCTCATGTGCCCGGGCTGCTGTCATTGCCATTCCTCGCCTTTCAGGAGCACGAAGTCCCACACTGTGGCAATGAAGATGTCTTTGGAAGTCAATGTTCTCTTTGAGGGACATTTAGAAATTGTGATATATTCAATTAATGATAACCAAGGATAAAATTTAGTTACTAAATTAGTCACTAAATTAGGTATCTAATTTGTAATTAAGACCATTCTATTTATCTAACTCAATGATAAGGTGGGATTGAAGTGGCTTGAATGAGAAAAGCTGCAATATTTGGTTTTTATAGTAGAACATCCTAGTAGGTGTTTGAGGTTTGTACCTGATTTGGATCCTTGAAGCAATGCTATGTGAGCCCTGAGCGGGGAAGGGCTCAGGGGTCTGGTGAAAGTGACCAGCACATGTCAGGCCCCTGTCTGGGCCTGCTCCGTGCTCAGGGCATGGCTTTCAGTGCAGATCTCCCTTCCTGGGCCTGCTGGCTGCACCCTCTGCTGCTTCACTGCATGTGGCCAACCTGGGGCCTCAGTTTCCTCACCCACAATGCTCTGACAATGATGGCATCCTTGAAGACTTTTCTGAGGATGAGGCAGAACTGCACAGTAAGCCCCTGCGCAGGGACCAGTCCACAGCCGGTGTGGGCTGGGCAGTGGTGGCTCTCCCTAGGCAGCCGGGATTCTGGGTGTCGGAGGCTTTCCTCTGCTTCCCTGTGCTCCCTGGGTCTTAATGGCTGCCTGGGGCCTCTGGCGGGGGCTGCCGGGTGGGAGCCTCCCCAGCAGATCTCTGCTCAAGCGATGCTAATTGTGCCTGAGAGAACGGCTCACTAGAGTGGAAAATAGTCCTCATATATCTAGCTGAAGACGATAATGACCTTTTAAATAACAGAAGCAATTTTATTTCAATACCTCAATTACTCTGAACTCTCAAATGTCAAAGTGCTCGGCACTTTCAAAATAGCTTAATATAGACATTTATAGCACTTAGACACAGCTAGTTTCTTATCTAACCTAATTATGTGTTGTACAGGAAATGGCGAAGCTCACCAACTGTGTTATTTTTCACAGTGATCCCCACGCACGGCCCTGGGCTCTGCCTGGAGTCGGCCAGGAGAATTTCTCCCCGGCAGAGAGTGCTGCTGCTCTGGGAAGAGGCATGGTTGGGGCTCTGCCAGGGGCATGACCTCCAGCTACAAGGGGAGAGGAGGTTAAAAGAGGCCCTCCCAGTTCAGTGAATGTCAACAGCACTGTGCCCTGACTCGGGATGGCTCTCACTTGTGTGGGGTGCGAGGGCCCCTGGGACCAGAGGAATGGCCAGGGAGGGGGCCAGGGTAAGCTGAGGTGGGGTGGGTGGGGGCACTTTTGCCTTGTTGGGCAAAGCCAGGAGCCACCTTCTCAGGATGTGAGATAGAGCGAGGCCAGGATCACCTGGTGTGGCCGGCAGCATTTTCTGCTCCCGCTTCCCACTTGTGCCTGCCCTTCTCCATGTCTGCACCAGAGACCACCTGGGTGAGTGGCCTTCTGTTTCCCCCCATTTCCTCTCTGACCCAGTTCCTGCCACTCTCCATTACTGCCCCGAATTGCAAGCGCCTCCCTGCTGCTTCTCAGAATGGCCCCTGCCCCAGGAATGGCACTGCTCACTCCGGCGCCTGGAATCTTCTCCCAGGACTCCCACATGGCCACACCCTCATTTCTCCAGCTCCCAGATGCCACCTATTGGGGAGGCCGTCCCTGACCACCTTATCACATTTTCTCTCCCCAGTGCTGCCTCGCCCTTCCCTGCTAGTTTAGCATTTTGTTTTTCTTCCTTAGAGTGGCGCCTCACATACGCGGTTTGATGCTTCTGTATTTTTTGTCTGTCTCTCTAAGAAGAATGCAAGCAGATTGCAGGCTGGGGCTTTTGCTTATTATTCACTTCTGTATCTCCAGTGCCAAGGCATAGTAACCACTTAATGAATACATGTTGAGTATATGGTGTATGTGTTAAGGGAGGGAGGGAAGGAAAGAGGCCACCACTCCAGGTTGTGATATCTGTGAAGGGGGTGGGCAGCCCAGGGCTCCAGCCTGGCCATGGTGGGTGGCTGGGTGACAAGCATGCTCTGCAAGGCCATCTTCACCACTTACTGGCTGGGCCAGGCACCCAGCTAGGGGAATGCACGCATTGCACTCTACACATTTTCATCTTCCAACGGGATTGGGTATGCTCATTGACATTTTACAGACACAGAAACTGAGGCTTGGAGAGGTCACACAGGGTTCCACGAGTTCCTCAGCTAGAGATATGCAAAGCTGGGACATGAGCCGCAGTCTGTTCTGTTCCAAAAGCTGCATCTTAGCCACGCTGGGTGCTCCTGGCTGGTGTGGCTGCTATGAGTCTGCCCATCTTGGCAAGGCCTCCACTGGGCCTGCTGACTTCCAGGCCTCGTGTGCCCTGCCCAGGCCCTGTCTCAAAAGGGCCCCCCCTCCCCAAGGGGACCAGGCAGCAGCCCCCTGCTCCCAGCACACTACCCACTCTGTCTCTTGGCATCTCTGTCCTTCTCTGCTTGCTCACCCGTGCCCAGCTCTCATGCCTGCTGTCCCCTGGCATGTGGCACGGCACAGGGCTGGAGACGCCCCTGCTGAGATCAGCCACAGCAGCGCTGCCTGCAATGACCATTAGCCTGCCCTTGGCAAGGTGCTTTGTAGTGATGTGGAGGCCTCCTTTCAGTTTGTCATTCATTCATTCTTCATTCATTCATTCGATCTGCCTTATGGAGCACCCCCATGGGGCCAAGCCTCACTAGGCAGAACAGGCAGGGGAGACATAAACAGGACGTGATTTCTGATCTTGAGGCCCTCACAGATGCATTGGGGAGTCAGAGAGCGTACAGACATGGTCGGTTAGTGCTGTGGTGCAGAACCTCCTCTCCCTGAATCCTCTTCCCCTGCAACTCAGGTGGGATGAGCAGCCTTCCTTGGGCAGCTTATGGGAAGAGGCAGGGCAAGTTCTTATGCCCCCTGTGGAAAGGATGCCACCTCCCCACACCCAGGACCCTACTGAGGGAGCTGGGCCCCTCTACTGGTCCATGGCCCCTCTGCCACTGCAGTGGGCTGGGCCTGGCACTGGCACTGCAGCAGGAGTCAGGCAGGGTCCCCCATGTTGGTGATCGGACTGTCCACAGGGAAGCAAACACAAAGTACCACCCCACTCCTCACCCCCCACTAGGCCATGTCTTATTCAGGTGGCCTGTGTGAGGGCAGTGGGAGCACAGGTGAGAGAGGGACAGGGGAGGAAGAGGGAGGGTCATGTCTCAGAGCCAAGGAAAGGACCCTGGAGCTAAGAGTCCCACCTGGAGGCTCAGCACTGTTGGAATTCCTGACCAGGACTTGGAGCTCTTTGCGGCAATATGGTGTCAGTTGGGGAGATAGACTCCCTGAATCCAGGCCCTCTCAGCTTGGACTTGGCACTCAGCATCTCTGAGCATCAGTTTCACTGGCTGCAATGCATGAAGATGAGATGAGATAGCATGCATCTATGCCCTTCTGCCCTGCAGCTCCCAGTCCTCTGACAGGCACCCCTCACCGCCTTCCTGGTGTGTCCCACATGTCCCATTTCACGGGGCACCAGCTCCTGCACAGTGCTCCTCACTAGATGTGAGCTTTTCATTTTCTCCTGGTCTGCCTCCAGGACTAGATTGTAAAATCCTGTGGGCTGGGGCCTTATCTTCCTCATTCACCCTTGTACCTTGGCACCTAGGAAGACAAGGTGTTTAATAAATAATTATGAGTAAATGTAGAATGAATTGTGGAGTGGGTTGCTCCTGCAAATTATTTAGAAATGTGTGCAAATCATAGCTCTAAGGAGCCTAGGTCAGGGCAATGCTGTGAGTGTTCTCTTTTTACACCCAAGAAGTGAGGATCACAGCGAGATGAGGGCTTCTGCACAGTCCCCAAGCCCTGAATCTCCCTGAGGTGTTGCCCAGGTTTGTCAAATAAAACAGGATCTGGGGCAAGTCTAATATTGTCCACACCTGAAGTAGCCTGCAAAAACAAAGCAGTAGGAAATGACAGGCTCTGCTGCAAACTGGAAAGGCTATCCAAGTCTCTCCAAGGCTTTCAACCCCCAAGTAATGACTCTCACTGTGTAGCCCAAACAGAATACACTTGCAGGCTCTACCTGGTCCCCCAAACCACCAGTTTGTGACCCTGCTGTGGTCCAGCGGCCCCAAGAGACTGGGAGGCTGGGTGCCCCTGCCCCAGCTGCTGGGGGTCGTCACCACTGACCGCCGAGACTCAAAGGACCAGGTGAACAACTGGCCAATCCCTTGCTCACCACAAGCGTCTTAAGAACTGAGCCCCCCCAATACTGGTGAGAAGGATTCTGCTTACTCTCACCATGTGACACCAAAGTCCCCAGGCTCCACCAGGGAGCCTTGAGGGAGGGGTGGGAATGTCCCTCCTCTATGAGCTGTATTCCCTACTGTACAAGGGTGGGTTGTCCAGATAGGGCCCTTCAGTTCTAGGACATTGTCTGGGGGTGTCCCATGCCCTCAGGATCTGGTTTTCAGGATCCTGAAGGATGCTGCATCTTCCTTGTGAATGTCACATACCTCCACCCCCTTGAGGACCCCACTTTTGCACTGGACATGCTGCTTGAGCCCCCTCTGACTGCTCTGCATGTGCCCCTCAGTCTTGTTGAGCCCCAATCACACTGTGTTTCCCATGGGGAGAAGGTGCCTCTCCCCACCTGGAGCCGAGTTTGCTGCCTTGGTCCCTGAGTATCGAGCTTGTGCCCAGGGCTTTCCATGCTCTTCGCAGGGTTGCCCTGGGAACTTATTCAAGAACAGGGGCTGGAAACCACAGTCCCATTTCAATATAGCCCCAAAGCTAAGAATGGCTTTTGTATTTTTAAATCTTTGGAAACATATCAAAAGAAGAATAATATTTTGTGACATGTGGAAATGATGCAAAAGCTCGGTGTCCACAGTAAATAAAGTGGCATCAGGACACAGCCGCCCTCATTCACATATGCATTCATGTGTTGTCTCTGGCTGTTTTCATGCTCTGAGGGCAGTGTTGATCTTTCTGGAAACTGCCAAACTGTTTTGCAAAGTGTGGGTATCATTACACATTCTCATCTGCAGTTTAAAAGAATTTCAGTTTCCCCGCATCCTTGCCAACACTCAGTATGGTCAGTCTTTTTCATTTTAGCCCTTTTTATAGAGTTGTGGCATGTCATTTGGTTTTAATTTGCATTTGTCTAGTGATAATTATATTGAGCAGCTTTTCATGTGCCTGTTTGCCTGGATATCTTCTTTAGGAAGTGTCTGTTCAGACCTTTTAAATGTTTCTTTTACTGTGCTATTATTACTAGATTTGAGAAGTTTTCAATATAATCTGCATACAAGTCCTTGGTTAGATAAATTATTTACAAATATTTTCTCTCTGTGCTCAACTTTTTCTTTTGTTAACAGTGTCTGTGATGGTTAATATTGTCAACTTAATTGGATTGAAAAAAGTATTGATCCTGGGTGTGTCTGTGAGGGTGTTGGCAAAGGAGATTAACGTTTGAGTCAGTGGGCTGGGGAAGGCAGACCCACCCTTAATCTGGTGGGCACAATCTAATCAGCTGCCAGCAAATATAAAGCAGGCAGAAAAATGTGAAAGACGAGACTGGCCTAGCCTCCCAGCCTACATCTTTCTCCTGTGCTGGATGCTTCCTGCCCTGGAATCTCAGACTCCAGATTCTCCAGTTTTGGGACTTGGACTGGCTCTCTTTGCTCCTCACCTTGCAGATAGCCTATCGTGGGACCTTGTGATCATGTAAGTTAATACTTAATAAACTCATATATATATGTAAAATAGCTTATTTTACATATATATAATAGTTTATTATATATACATATCCTATTAGCTCTGTCCCTCTAAAGAACCCTGACTAATACAGACTTTGGTACCAGGAGTGGTTCTAGAGGAACAGAATATTAAGGATGGAGTTCTTTTGTTGGTTTTGGGATTTCTGGAGTTGGCTGCTTAATATGATTAGACCCAAAAATGCTAAGGACTCTACTTGTAATAGTATGGCGAACACTGATAGTCCTTGGCTTGAACTGTTAAGAGAGTTATGCAAAATAAATGCATTTGACACTCCTGATTCACCGCTCATGAGAGCCAAGGAGTTTAGTGACTCTGTACATAATACATTTGACTGTATGTGGAAAACCAGGGAACATAGTTAAGCTGGTTGGTTGCTCCTAAGTTCAGTGGACAAAGTGATCAAAGAAAATGAACTCAGGGATTCTGCCTCCTGGCTTTAGAAGCAGATACTGAGCCTCAAATCTGCTAAGATTGCCCTTATCTCTTATAGAGAAAGAGCTGAAATTATGGAAAAACAGGCACAAGCTCTTATTATGCAGGTGGGTGACCTGCAATAAAAGGTGCATGCAGGCATCTACTGTTAAAATGAAGGCATTGATTGGAAAATAATGGGACCCTGCAACTTGGAATGGGGACATGTGTGAGGACCCTGATGAAGCTGGGGACATTGAGTTTGTAAACTCTGATGAACATTTCTTGCCAGAAGAAACAGCTTCCCCATCCCCAGTAGTGGCAACATCCCCTCTGACCCATGCTGCCATCAGCCTTTCACCTTTGTCTAAGTAGATAAACCCTGCACTGCCTGAAGCAACAGTGAGGCCTCCCACGAGGCCGTTGCCAGGCAAAATAATGTTGATTCTCCTCAGGAACCACCTGCAACACCCCGTTTGCTTCTAGACCTATAACTAGACTAAAGTCCTGGTGGGCCCCTGGAGGTGAGATTGAGAGTGTGACCCATGAGGAGGTGCACCTCCCTGGAAAAGAATTGCTTGAATTTTCTAACTTATATAAACAGAAATCTGGACAACAGGCATGGAAATGGGTATTAAGTTTATGGGATAATGGTGGAAGGAACACAGAGTTGGATCAGACTGAATTTATTGATTTGGGCCTGCTAAGTAGGGACTCTGCTTTTATTTATTTATTTTTATTTTTTATTTTATTTTATTTTTTTGAGACAGAGTCTTGCTCTGTCACCCAGGCTAGAGTGCAGTGGCGTGATCTTGGCTCCTGCAAGCTCCGCCTCCCGGGTTCATGCCATTCTCCTGCCTCAGCCTCCCGAGTAGCTGGGACTACAGGCGCCCACCACCAAGCCCAGCTAATTTTTTTGTATTTTTAGTAGAGAAGGGGTTTCACCATGTTAGCCAGGATGGTCTCGATCTCCTGACCTCCTGATCCTCCCACCTCGGCCTCCCAAAGTGCTGGGATTACAGACGTGAGCCACCGTGCCCAGCCAGGACTCTGCTTTTAATGTTGCAGCTTAGGGAGTTAAAAAAAGATTCTAATAGTTTATTTGCTTGGTTAGCTGAAATATGGATTAAAAGATGGCCCACTGTGAATGAGCTGGAAATGCGTGATCTCCCTTGGTTTAATGTAGAGGAAGGGATCCAAAGGCTTAGGGAGATTGGGATGGTGGAGTGGATTAGTCACTTTAGACCTACTCATCCAAAGCTGTGAGGGTCCAGAAGATATATCCTTGACCCATGCCTTGCAAGATAGATTTGCAAGGGCAGCACCTGCATGTTTGAAGAGCCCCGTAATTGCTCTCCTATGCATGCCAGATCTAATGGTGGGAACCACAGTCACTCATCTACAAAATTTAAATACAATGGGAATAGGTGGATCCCGAGGGGGCGGAAGCCAAGTGGCGGCACTCAATCATCAAAGGCAAGGTGGGCATAGCTACCATAATGGACAGCAGAGGCAAAGCGACAATCAGAATAGCCTGACTCATGTAGAACTCTGGCACTGGCTAATTAATCACAGTGTACCTAGAAGTGAAATTGATGGGAAGTATACTGCATTCCTACTTAATTTATACAAGCAGAAAACTTCTATGGACAAAGGACTAATTTGAGTTATAAAAACAAAGAATCACAGCCTCTCAATCAATTTCCAGATGTAAGCCAGTTTACAGACCCATAACCCCTTGAATGAATGGAGGCCAAGTCCCCTTGAGGAAGGATCCCACTACATTACTGACAATTTATGCAATGAGTCTTTCTCCCATCCTTCCCCAAGGAGACCTCTGGCCTTTTACCAGGGTAACTGTGCACTGGGGAAAGGGAAATGATCAGATATTTGGGAGACTACTGGATATTGGCTCTGAGCTGACACTGATTTCAGGGGACCCAAAACTTCACTGTGGTCCTCTAGTTAAAGTAGGGGCTTATGGAGGTTGGTAATTAATGGAGTTTTAGCTCAGGTCTGACTTAAAGTGGATCCAGTGGGTCCCTAGACTCATCCTGTGGTCATTTCCCCAGAATGCATAATTGGCATAGACATACTTAGCAGCTGGCAGAACCCCCACATTGGCTCCCTGACTGGTAGGGTAGGGCTATTGTGGTAGGAAAGGCCAAATGGAAGCCATTAGAGCTGCCTCTATCTAGAAAAATAATGAGAAAAATAGTAAATCAAAAACAATATTGCATCCCTGGAGGGATTGCGGAGATTAGTGCCACCATCAAGGACTTGAAAGACACAGGGGTAGTGATTCCCACCACATCACTATTCAATTATCCCATTTGGCCTGTGCAGAAGACAGATGGATCTTGGAGAATGACAGTGGATTATTGTAAGGTTAACCAAGTGGTGACTCCAATTGCAGCTGCTGTACCAGATGTGGTTTCATTGCTTGAGCAAATTAATACATCTCCTGGTACCTAGTATGCAGCCATTGACTTGGCAAATGCCCTTTTCTCCATTCCTGTCCATAAGGCCCACCAGAAGCAATTTGCCTTCAGCTGGCAAGGCCAGCAATATACCTTTACTGTCCTACCTCAGAGGTACATCAACTTTCCAGCTTTGTGTCATAATCTTATTAGGAGAGAATTTGATGGCTTTTCACTTCTGTAAGATATCACATTGGTCCATTACACTGATGACATTATGTTGATTGGATCCAATAAGCAGGAAGTAGCAAACACACTGGACTTATTGGTGAGACATTTGCATGCCAGAGGATGGGAAATAAATCTGACTAAAATTCAGGGAGCTTCTACCTCAGTAAAATTTCTAGGGTTCCAGTGGTGTGGGGCCTGTTGAGATATTCCTTCTAAGGTGAAGAATAAGTTGCTGCATTTGGCCTCTTTTATAATCAAGAAAGAGGCACAATGCCTAGTGGGCCTATTTGGGTTTTGGAGGGAACACGTTCCTCATTTGGGTGTGTTACCCTGGCCCATTTATCTAGTGACCCGAAAGGCTGACAGTTTTGAGTGAGGTCCAGAACAGGAGAAGGCTCTGCAACAGGTCCAGGCTGCTGTGAAAGCTTCTCTGCCACTTAAGCCATATGACCCAGCAATCCAATGTTGCGTGGGTGTCAGTGGCAGATAGGGATGCTGTTTGGAGCCTTTGGCAGGCCCCTTTAGATGAATCATAGAAGAGGCCTCTAGGATTTTGGAACAAGATTCTGCCATCTTCTGGAGATAACTACTCTCCTTTTGAGAAACAGCTCTTGGTTTGTTACTGAGCTTTGGTCGAAACTGAACGTTTGACTATGGGTCATCAAGTCACCATGAGACCTGAACTACCTATCATGAACTAGGTGCTTTCTGATCCATCTAGCCATAAAGTGGGTCATGCACAGCAGCATTCCATCATCAAGTGGAAGTGGCATATACGTGAGCAGGCTCCAGTGGGTCTTGAAGGCACAAGTAAGTTACATGAGGAAGTGGCTCAAATGCCCATGGTCTCCACTCCTGCTACCTTGCCTTCTCTTCCCCAGCCTGCACCGATGGCCTCATGGGTAGTTCCCTATGATCAGATGACAGAAGGAGGAAGAGAACCATCACAGATGGTTCTGCACAATATGCAGGCACCACCCGAAAATGGACAGCTGCAGCATTATAGCCCCTTTCTAGGACATCCCTGAAGGACAGCGGTGAAAGGAAATCTTCCCAGTGGGCAGAACTTTGAGCAGTGCACCTGGTTGTGCACTTTGCATGGAAGGAGAAATGGCCAGATGTGCGATTATATACTGATTCATCGGCTGTAGCCAATGGCTTGGCTTGATGGTCAGGGACTTGAAAGAAGCATGATTGGAAAAATGGTGACAAAGAAATTTGGGAAAGAGGTATGTGGACAGACCTCTCGGAGTAGTCAAAAACCATGAAGATGCTTGTATCCCATGTGAGCACTCACCAACGGGTGAACTCAGCAGAGGAGGATTTTAATAATCAAGTGGATAGGATGACCCATTCTGTTTCTGTGGATGCCACTCAGCCTCTTTCCCCAGCCACCCCTGTCATCGCCCAATGGGCCCATGAACAAAGTGGCCATGGTGGCCAGGATGGAGGTTATGCATGGACTCAGCAACATGGACTTCCACTCACCAAGGCTGACCTGGCTATGGCCACTGCTGAGTGCCCAATTTGCCAGTAGCAGAGACCAACATTGAGCCCTCTATATGGCACCATTCTTCAGGATGATTAGTCAGCTACCTGGTGGCAGGTTGATTATATTGGACCTCTTCCATCATGGAAAGGGCAGAGATTTGTCCTCACTGAAATAGACACTTACTCTGGATATGGGTTTGCCTATCCTGTATGCAATGCTTCTGCCAAGACTACCATCCACGGACTCACAGAGTGCCTTATTCACCATCAAGGTATTCCACACAGCATTGCCTCTGACCAAAGCACTCACTTTGTGGCTAAAGAAGTGCAGCAGTGGGCTCATGCTCGTGGAATTCACTGGTCTTACCACGTTCTCCATCATCCTGAAGCAGCTGGATTGATAGAACGGTAAAAATGGACTTTTGAAGTCACAATTACAATGCCAGCTAGGTGACAATACTTTGCAGGGCTGGGACAAGGTTCTCTAGAAGGCCATGTATGCTCTGAATCAGTGTCCAATATATGGCACTATTTCTCTTATAGCCAGGATTCATAGGCCCAAGAATCAGGGGGTGGAAATGGAAGTGGCACCGCTCACCATCACCCCTAGTGATCCACTAACAAAATTTTTCCTTCCTGTTCCCATGACATTACATTCTGGTGGCCTAGCGGTCTTAGTTCCTGAGAGAGGAACACTGCCAACAGGAAACACAACAACAATTCCATTAAACTGAAAGTTAAGATTGTACCTGGACACTTTGGGCTCCTTCAACAGGCTAAGAAGGGAGTTACAATGTTGACTGGGGTGATTGACCCGGACTATCAAGATGAAATCAGTCTGCTACACCATAACAGAGGTAAGGAAGAGTATGCATAACAGAGGTAAGGAAGAATACAGGAGATCCACTTGGGTGTCTCCTAGTATTACCATGCGCTGTGATTAAGATCAATGGGAAACTACAACAGCCCAATTCAGGCAGGACTACAAATGACCCAGACCCCTCAGGAGTGAAGGTTTGGGTCACTCTACCAGGAAAAAAACCACGACCTGTTGAGGTGCTTGCTGAAGGCAGAGGGAATCCAGAATGGGTAGTTGAAGAAGGTAGTCATAGATACCAGCTACAACTACATGACCAGCTGCAGAAACGAGGACTGTACCTGTCATGAATGTTTCCTCCTTCTTTCGTTAAAAACAGGTTTGTGCATGTATACACTTGTACTAAGAAAATATCTTCATTTTATTTCCTTTTTCTTTAACATGTGACATAAGATTTATTGACTTCATGTCAGCATTTAAGTGTTGCTAACTTCAGGTAATAGTATTTGGGTTGGGGATTGGTGTGTTTCCGGTTGTACAAAGGATAGTTTTATTAAGTTAGGTGTAATTATGACCTTATTGTTTTCTTTATTTGAAGATTATGTATGATATCAGGAGATGTGTGTGGGTTCAAGTTGACAAGGGGTGGCCTTGTGATGGTTAATAATGAGTGTCAACTTAATTGGATTGAAAAAAGTATTGATTCTGGGTGTGTCTGTGAGGGTGTTGCCAAAGGAGATTAATATTTGAGTCAGTGGGGTGGGGAAGGCAGACCCACCCTTAATCTGGTGGGCACAATCTAATCAGCTGCCAGAAAATATAAAGCAGGCAGAAAAACGTGAAAGGTGAGACTGGCCTAGCCTTCAGCCTACATCTGTCTCCCATGCTGGATGCTTCCTGCCTTCAAACATTAGACCCCAAATTCTTCAGTTTTGGGACTCAGACTGGCTCACCTTGCACCTCAGCTTTTAGACAGCCTATTGTGGGACTTTGTGATCATGTAAGTTAATACTTAATAAACTCCCCTTTATATATATATACACACACACATATATGTATGTATGTGTGTGTATAGATGCATATATGTATGTATATGTATACATATAGGTAGGTGTGTATATATATACATGTATGTATATATGTATGCATATATATGTATGTGTGTGTGTGTGTGTGTGTGTGTGTGTGTGTGTGTGTGTGTATATATATATATATATATATATATATATATATATATATATATATATCCTATTAGTTCTGCCCCTTTAAAGAACCCTGAGTAATACAGTGGCTTTCAATGACCTGGAGATCTTAAGTCTGACAAAGTTCAATTCATCATTTTTTTTTCTTAATGGGTGATTTAAATAACTCCAGTTTACAAAGAAGTTTTCCTAGGTTTTCTTCTAGAAATTTTATAATTTTAAGTTTCACTTTTAGGTCTAAAATTTATTTAAAATTAATTTTTCTTGATGGCATGAGGTGTTGGTCACAGTTCTGTTTTTTTCATTGCACATGGATCCTCACTGTTCCAACGCTGTCTGATGAAAGGGCTCTTTCTTCCACTGTATTTCCTTGGCACATTTTTCAAAGCCAGTTGACCACACATGGGTCTGTTTCTGGACTCCATTCTGTTCCATTGATTTCTCTGTCCTCAATGTCAAAAGCACACTGTCTTTATTACTGAAGCTTTCTAATAAGTTGAAATCACATAATGTAAATCCTCCAACTTTGTTCTTCATTCAATGTTTTTAGGCTCTAACTTATTCTAGATCCTTTCATTTTCATATGAATTTCAGAATTAGTTTGTCAGTTTCTACAAAAAAGCCCATTGTAATTTTCACTGGGGTTAGATAGAATCTGTAGCTCAATTTGGGGAGAACTGACATCTCAATAGTATTGGGTCTCTTAATCTATGGCTACGGTGTAGCTCTCCATTTATTTAGGTCTTTGATTTCCCTCAACAATGTTTTTGTAGTTTTCAGATTATATGTATTTTAGTCATATTAGTCCTAAGTGGTTCATATTTCTGATGTGTTTCTAAGTGGTATTGAGATTTTAGTTTCAATTTCTGACAGTTTTTTGGGGCTGAGATGTCCTGAGAGCTTAGACGTGAGGCATGAGGGAGGGGCATACTCAGAGATGTCTCAGAGGTTTTCGGCCTGAGCAACTGGTAGAAAGATATTCCCTTCCTGATGTTGGCCACACAGATACTGGACATACATGATCTTATAATAATGGTTATGATAACTTTCATTGTCATTATTGCATAACTGAGCACGTCCCAAGTTCCAGGCGCTGGATTCCCACCTCACATGCAATTTCTCCTCAGATCCTCACAAAAGCCCTACGAAATGGTTCCCTGATTACTGTTTTGCAGAACACACTGACGAGCTGGTAGATCAGTCAATTTCCCCCAAAGTTACCTAGCTCTTGAAAGAAAGGCAGGCCTGGAACCCAGGGATCGGCCTGTAAACATGCACCACAGCCCCGTGCCTCTTTCTCCCAGGTGCAATGGAAGGCACGCCATGACAGGTGGGGATCAGTGGGTCCCTTTTCTGCTCCGGCTGAGCTCACCTAGCTCGGGTGGACATACCTAGGGCCTCTTCTAGGCCATCTGCTTTCCAACAAAACACATGCCTACCCCAGCATCTTGGGTTAGGGCAGATCTCCCAGAGTGTGGCTTAGGGACCCCCTAAAGCACCATGAGATGCTTGTAAGGCAGGCATAGACAAGCATTTTTTCTATCCATTTTATGTAGTTAGAAAAACATAGACTGTATATCCAACCTGTGATTTCACAGACATTATTGCTTAGGTGAGGTTTCAGTTTTGAAAAAATAGTGAAGTTAATGACAAACACTAAGAATATTGTTGTACAGGTGTTGTCAAAAAATCCTGAAGGTGGTATGGGAATGAGAAATATTTGGTGAACATTTGAATGAGGGGGCAATGCCTCTGAAAGGGAGAGAAGAAATGAAAAGGAAGTCACTATTCTCTTACCAGGCCCTGTGTCATAAACTACGTTTATACTGATAACCATCATCATCATTACCTCCTGAGCTCCTGCTCTGTACTAAGAACTTGACACAGAGTTATGTCATTTTAACTTTCCAAGCAACTTATGAAGTCAGTAATTATTACTTCTATTTTATAAAACAATAAGCATAGGAAAAGACAGCTGAGGCTGAGGGTGTGCAAAGCCCCAAGAGCCTGGAGGTGCCGCAGAGGGGACTGTGAGAGCAACTGGCCTCCTGGTGATCTCTGCAAGAGGAGGAGAAGGAGGAGGAGGAAGCCTCTGCCCTGAGGGGCTCTGAGGCTGAGGCTGCCTCATGGAGGGGCCTGCGTGACCTGTGCTCCCAGCAAGAATGAGCCTTGCTGTCACGGGGGGCTGCTTCCTGTAGTAGTGAGCTCCTTGTTGCAGGAGGAATTCAAGCTGGCCTCTATGACACAAAGATTCCGATGCATTTTGTTCTATTTTTCAAAAGCATATGAACTTTTCCTTCTTCCTTTGTGCTTCATTTTGAGGTGGGGAGAGCCAGCTGTTCTTGACATCCAAAGCTCCAGGGAGAGGCAGGCTATTTGGATTTCATTATGCCAGTGGCCCATCCTAAGGAACACAAGGCCTTAGGCACTTGGTACTACAGTTTGGGGGTGGGGAGTAAACCTGGAGCCTTGACCAGGTTCTGCCACTGACCTGCTATGTGACCTTAGACAAGTCCCTTTCTTTCTCTGGACCCTGGCTTCCACATGTCCAAAGTGATAGTGTTAGAGGGTCTGTGTGTCTCCTGATGGCCAGAGACTCTTGAAGGTTACATTTCAGTCATCTGTGTCCAGACAGCCTCTCTCCATCAGGCTCCAAGCCTGGCTGGGAACAGGTATGCAGTGAATCCTTGTTAAATACTAGTGGATAAATGAATGAATGAATGAACAAGTGCTTGGATGGATAGTTAAGATAACATCATCACACTGATTTTAGTGAAGATCCATCGGTGCTTAAAGCCTGGGCAAAGGCCACAGGGATGCAAAGTGTGTGCTGCATGATTTGGTGGCACATTCCACTTCCAAGTCATCATAGAGTTGTGTATTTATGGTGCTGCATTTCTGGCAAAAGGCAGTAAAATGTCTTGGACAAGTGGGGCAGTTTTCAAGCAGTTTTGGGGCAGACAGAGATCTTAGCTCAGGATACAACAGTGTTCTTTGAGCCTTCAGGGTCTCAGGGGAAGGACGCAATTTGGAGGGTCTTCCTGTTTACTAAGAAGGTCATGAAGGTGCTTCAGGCAACATCCAATAAGAGAACAATTGGAAACAACACAATCACACGTGAGCTTGCACACACACACACACCCTGATCCAGGTATGGGATGTGGATGTGTACCCAAGAACTTACTAAAGCAAAACTGATTTTAGTTTAGAGAGATTTGATTTTATGCTAAACAAATTTCATCAGGATTTTCATATGAAGAGCCTATTCCTCCCCGTATGTGTCCTGATTGGCTGCATTTTAATGTGGTTAAATCCAATCTTTGAGTTCTCTGCAGGCCCCAGAGGGGGAGGAAGTTGCTGTCACAGGGGCTTCCAGGGGACAGAACTTCTCTCCCAGGATCCCTGAGCTCAAAGGAATGGAAGAAGAAGGCCAGCCTGGGGTAGGGGGATGTGGTTCTCATGAGGTCGCCATGGAGGGACACAGAAAGCCCTGGAAACTTGGTCAGTGGCACAGAGAGTCCCACATGGTCCCTCCAAGAACTTCTGCTGTTGCATTTCAGTTCACTGAATACAAGCAATTCATGGGTCACACACTGAGTACTTATGGGTTCTGCCAGGCCTGCTGACAAGGCACCATCCTTCCTGCGCCTAAGAGGTCAAGGGAGCAGGACGGCCAGACTTAGCAAACACAAATGCAAGACACCTGGAAAAAGTTGAATCTCCGATGAGCAACGACTACTTTGTTAGCATAAGTATGTCCCAGTCTGGCCAGGCCTGTCCAGGTGGAGAGATGGGCACAGCTTGAGCGTGCGGCCCCCCTTGTGGGTGAACTCGTCTCCCAGAGGGACTCCAGCACGCCTGGATGCTGGTCTCAGGCAAGCACAGTGGTGCCCGATCGGGATCCCTGCTTTCCTGGGTGCCTGCTGTGGGAGGGATGCCCATCAATTGCTCTGGGCTGCCCTTCCCTGGCCTCTTAGAGGATGTAGAAAATGCAGAGAGACCCAAGGTGGGTGTTCCGTGAGGGGACTTCTGCTGGGGGAGAGTGGGGCATGGCTGCTGTCTAGGAGCTGATCTCAGACGTGAAAAGTGAGTGGGATATGGGGGTTTCTGACCCCAGAGGCTGGGGAAGCCCTTCACAGGCCATCTGTCCCGAGACCACAGGGTGGGCAGCAACGCCTGCCTCCATCCTCACCCCAGCCTGCTGCTGTCAGTGCTGGAGTTCCTCCCAACAGAGTGGAGACTCCGGGACCTGTGCTCCCTGGGAGATGGTGACATATGCAGCCTGAGGCTTCTGTTCCCCATGAGCAGGCACAAAGTCTGTGGGCCCGGGGGAGCCTGAGAGCTGGACCTCCTTTCCCAGACATTTCTGAAGAAGCACAATTGAAGCGTGCCTGCCCTGCTCCAGCCTGGTTAACCCTGGGCGTGGGGCCTGCCAGATGTCTTGAGCCTGCTGTCCCATGTTCTCTGTGTCCCAGGTTCAGGGTTCCTCCATCCCCAGCGCCCTGGCTCAGGGACTGGCTGAGCAAGGAAAACACTGGTGAGTGAAGCAGCCAAGAGCTTGCGTCACAGCGGAATAGGCAGTCTGTTGTTTGCCTCATCCACTATTATTTTATTTTATTATAAAATAAGAAGATATGATGTTACTTTCCTGAGGAGCCCTGAGGTAGACACCAGGATCCCATTTCACAGATACAGAAGCTGTGGCCAAGGCTGGCGGGACTTGTGGAGCTGGGCCTGGTGCTCAGGTGGCCTGGCCTCCTTACCCACTCACCGCATATGCCTGTCCTCCTGTCTAGGCCTCTAGATACCATGTGGCACTGGGACGGGTCCCCCGGTCCCCACTGGACCTGGTGTGCTGGTGAGGCCAGTGTCTGCATGGTCCTGCTTCTGGGCCCCAGGCAGGCTGTGCCCCTGGCTTCGGCCCTGGCTACCTCTGCTGCCTCTGCTGTGGGCCTGGGTGCTGAGCCTGTTCTCTCCTCTCCCTGCACCCCAGGCCTCTGCCCTGGGCTCCCCCAACCACTGACAACTGTCAGGAGCCCCAACCCTGCTGGCCAGACATCGTAGTCCACTCGGGCCAGCAGGGGCCTCCTGTCACTGGAGTTGCCCAGAGCTTTTGGAGCCTGGGCCTCAGTTGTGCCTGGTGCTTTCCTCTGCAGCCCCATCCTGGCTTGACTGCTCCCCTGCCCTCGCCTCCAGCAGCGGACTCTGCTTCCGATGCCTCGGGAGTCTACAGCAGGGCCATGTCTGTGAGGGCCCAAGGGTGCATGTGTCTCCCAGGTTTCGGTGCAGAGCGGCTTCCCTCCTCCCAGCAATGCGAGCTAATCCTGGAGGACCCCACTGGAGCAGCTCAGCATGGAGCCTGTCTCCTGCAGTCTCCCCAGCTCCTCCATGGGGCATTCTCACCCACAGCCCGTCCCTGCTTCATGGATGCCTCTAAAGCTTCCAGCTTCTGACAACGGCGTTCACGGTTTCACCACAAGCTCCCAAGCTCCTGGCTTCTTCCCCTGACATGTCCCGGGCCCAGGGCATGACATTTACAGTTTCCTCTCATTATTCCCACCTCTTCACTCCATTTTGCTTCACCCTGCCCACGGAGGGGCTGCTGCTTGACCCTGCCATCCCAGGACCACCCTTTCTGACATGTCTGCCACCAAGACTCATTCATACGTCTACATGTCCGTTTACTCAGCTGACTCTTGTGGGGCACATTCTGGGAGCTGGCATGGAGAATGAAGCTCTGCGGGTGGGCAGCCCACCTCTGCCAGCCTCACTTGCACTCACTCCATCCAGTAACCAGAGTCTACTCCACAGCCAGGAGCAGCAGCCCCTCTACCTCTCAGCCTCATCCCGTGTGCCCTCCATTCTTCTTCCCACACCCAGCCGGACTCACCCTGTACCTTGGCCGATGCAGCCCAGTCTTCCTGCAACCCCGTCCCTCTGTCTCAGCAGGTTCCAGGCCTGGCTCCAGGGCCACCTCCTTCAGCCAGTGCCATAGGTGGCTGAATTCTGTCCCTGGAGTGGTTCTATGTTGACATCCTAACCCCCAGTACCTCCAAATGTGACTGTACTTGGAGACAGTTGAAATGGGGTCATATGGGTGGACCCTAATCCCATATGACTGGCGTCCTTATAAGTGGAGATGAGGACACAGATGTGCACAGAAGACAGATGAGGTGAGGATGCAGGGAGAAGGTGGTCATCTGCAAAGCAAGAGAAAGGCCTCAAAAGAAACCAACCCTGTGACACCTTGATCTTGGACTTCCAGCCTCCAGAACTTTGAAGAAATGAATTTCTGTTTAATATTGTTATGGCAGCCCCACCCAACTGATATAGCTGAGTGTCCCCTTTGCCTTCCCTAGGGCCTGAGATTTCCTTTTTAGCCCTTTCACCTCAAGTCACATTTGTTTGCAGACACCACATCACCAGGACCCCACCAATAAGACCCAACACTGCCTCCTCATTTTCCCCGTGATTTGAGGGGAAGAAAAGGCAAAAACACTTAAATGAAGGAATCGAAGACAGCCTTTTGGCCAGCAGACCTTGTCAGCCTTGGGTAATGCTGTGATGTGTTTTGAAAAATGCCAGCAGGCTCAGCCTTGATATTTATGACCCTGCTTCTTGGCCTTCCTGGGGAGTGGTGCTCTCTGCTCTTAAATTTATGGTCCTTCAGTGCAGTCCCAGACCAACCAGGGGATTGCAAATGGGCTGTCTGCTAATAGTGTGTGCAGATGGTGTGGGAGGTGGTGTGATCCTTGGCTCTGGGGTCAGACACAAGTGCTTCTCACCCGGGGAGGGGTGCTCCGGACCTGAGAAGGGTCTCCTCCATCTTCTCCTTTGCAAAGCCTCAGAGTTTACAGAGGAATCAAGGTATGCTAACCACCTCTCACTATTTTTGACATGGCTGCACACCAGTTCCACTTTCTTAATATTTATCTTTTAATCAACTTGTTGCCCCCTGGAGGCCAGACGACCCATGGGGCATAAGACATGAAGTGCATGTTCCTGCTATCCCTGGGCCTGGGCTAAATTAGGTGGGGACCCCCTTCAGGGCCTTTGCAGAGTTTGGAGACATGGGGAAGATCAGGATCCCCACCTGGCCCCTAGAAGGGAGATCTCTGAAAGACTAGTTGAAGCTAACAAGCTTAACCTCCCCAAGTCCCTATGTGTCCACCTGAGCTTGACTTTATTAAAAAGGCAGGTGGATTTCCTTTTGAGGAGCTCTGCAAATCTTGGGGTAAGGAGGAGACATTAGAGTGAGGGTGATACCTGTGATGCCCAACGACCAATCCCAGAATGACCCAGGCACAAGAAGGTACTGGAATTCTTCAGAGGGGCACGAGTAACTACCCCACCTGCCATACATTTTCAGGTGGAAAACAAAAGTCACACAGCAGTGCAGATTTCTCCAGGAAGAACTGCAGCTCGGAAGCCAAGTGTGGACCGGGGCCCTGGGAAGAGACTGCTGAGCCAGGAGTTGTCTGGAATCCTTGTCTGTTGCAGGTTGTGGAGATGGGGGTGGGAGTATCACCAAGGCGGGTGTATCACCCCAGGCCAAACTCCCTGAGTCTGCCATGGGCAGCACCCACCGCCATGTCCTGCGGCTCAGCCACAGAGGCTGGGCCTTCTTCACAGTAGCCCCTCACTCCTCAGGCCCCTACACTATGGGCAAGACGGGGAAGAGCCAGTGTCCAAGGTGGAAGATGGGGAGGGGCTGGGTGAGGCTGTGCAGGTGGATGTGCTTCCCTGAAGCCTTCCTGCCTTTCTCAGGACAGAAACACAAATACTTAGAAAGGCAGCATGGTAAGTGGAATAGAGTGGCAGTTTAAAACTGAAGAGCCCTTCTGCATTTAAAACATAGTTGCTTTAATAAAATAAAGACAATACAATAATTTCCAGTAAGCGACCCATCTTTTTTTTTTTCAGTGCAATAGCCCTTAATAAGGTGAGTCATGTGTAATTTCGTGTGCAGCTGGGCATCACCAAGTCACAGTTTCCAGCGTGCTGCTCAGCCCTCCGAGTGTGTGTGCTCATCCTTTTCATAGAAGTCCCATCGGCCATGGAGAGGGTTGGGCTGCAGAGCTGTGATTGCCAGAGGCCCTTCCTTGAGAACTGTGGGGAAGGAGGCCCTGGGGGTTTCTTCTGTAGGCAGAGCTCAGGCCCCAGTCACCTCTGCCACCCTCAGCCTGGCACTGTTGTGCCAGAGCCTCTGCTGCCTCTCTCTTCCTACCCATCTGCAGACCAGCAGAATATTCTCCCCCTCTCATCACCAACCAGGAGTTTGGTGTGGTTTCTTGGGAAGAGAAAGAAAAGACAAGAACGTTAGAGGGACAGTACCACTTGTCCCCGCCAGCACATGGGATATTGCAACTCTGGGGCTCTATCTGGGGCCCAGCGGAGCTTGCCCCTGGTCTTGTCTCCCTTGAGGCAGGGGAGGCAGTGGGAGGAATGGAGAAGGTTTCCACCTGGGGGAGGGGAAAGCATTGAGCTGTGAGGGTGGTGGCTCCCACAGCACTGTGGGGAAGCTCAGGCCCCAGGGAACAGGACGAGGCCGTGCCTCTCTCCAGTGCCTCCAGGTGAGTCTCCTGTCCCACCAGAGAAATAGCCAGGACCAGGGCAGAACAAATGGCAAGTTCTCTGCAAAAAGTGCGGCTCTGGCCCTACCATCATGCCCACCCCACTCCACTCCGCCCCACCCAGCATCTAAAACACTGTGTAGTGCCTCCACCAAGGACCCCGGAACAGCCCACGCCACGCCAGTGAGGGAGGAAGGAAGTCCGGCTCTGCAAGGTCAGCGGCCCCTAAGGCTGCACCTCGCAGTGTGTACAAGGATGTTAATGACAGTAACCACCTCCATGGGTTACTGCGAGTCAAATAACGGGTATGAAGTGTCGGGACTGATGCTTGGCTATGCTACAGCAGCTAAGAGCCCTCAGAAGGCACTTTCTGTTAATGAAGGATAATCATCACACCAAATGTTACAGTCTGCAGTGGAACTCAGGGGAAAAGGCTCTCTTTAGGATAAAATTACAAAACAATATACTTATACCTCTTGGATTTCTTAATGAATGTTTGGATATTCAAGAGCAAGAGAGCAAGGGCATGTGTGAGTTAAAAGCAAAACAAACAACAACAAAACCCTGAAAAACGTTTCCTGGGGCTCTATATGGCCACACGGGCTGCTTCCTGTGCTTGGTGGGGCCATGTCCTGGAGTGAAGTGGCCTCCTCGGCCAGGTGGCCTGGACTCAGAGCCACTGGGGCTTTCCTAAAGGTGGCTGCAGTGCCCTCTGCTGGAGACCCAGAGAAACAAGGCCGCGCTTACCTGGACACGGCCAGAGCAGTCACTGCGGGGCTGGTTTTGCTGGGCTTCCCTGTCAAAGCAATGCTAACGTCCAGCTCTCGACTCAAGGCCAGGTTCTTCTCCCACTTGTGGCCTGTGTGGAGCATGTGAGAGAAGAGTTAGAACGCCAGATCGGCTTCGCACATACAGTGTGCATCTGCACACGGGGCCGCAAACACATACGCACATATTTATATTTGTGGTCAGCAACTTGTTAAATTGAGGGGGAAATATATTTAATCTTGGCCTGTGCTGTTGCAAAAAGGGCCGTCCCAATTTAATTTGCAGGCGGTGATAGTTACATGTGCTGACGTGCCTCGGTATCCATTGTGTACCAAATTGGATTTGTGTATTATTGCTTTCTAAATTGCATGCCTAGTTCAGCAAAATTGTTCATCAGTGTTTACTGGCTTTATGCTTAATAAGATGCCCCACAATACCTTGCTGCCAGGGTGTAATGCAGCCAGTAATTGCCTAGTAAAAATAAATTACATAAAGTCGGCATTATCAACTTATCTTAATCCTCTCACGCCACAACCAGTAATTAAATGCTGAGAATGTTTTTTTCAAAAAATATAACTCAATGATTGTTACTTCACTCATTTTAATGACTGCATTTGGGGACAGACAGTAATTCCTTCAATGTGAAGGGTGAGATGGAGAGACGCCAGCTGGGTACGTCCCTGCGAGGCCACTTCCTTGGACTCAGGGCAGGAGAGATGATACAGCCCCTGCTGTCCTGAGGTGACCACCCATGTGTGCAGACAGGCCATGTGCCAGGAAATGCATGAGGGGTCCAGGTGGGAGAAACCACCTCAAAGCACACCAGGCATTTGTACATTGTGTACAAGTCTAAACAACAAGCTTCTCCCAAGCACTTTTTATGTACCAGATTGAGTCCAAATCTTTGAGGCGATTCCTGAAATAAATTGTACTCAGCTGGGTTGGGCCTTGCTGCAAATGGCAAATAAATGAATTCCAAGCAGAAATTGGATTACATCTGCCCACAAATGCAGTATGCTTAATATCTTCAAAGATCTCCTTTCTTGCCCCTTAAGACATTTGAGGGGTATAGTAATATACACGCCAAGAGGACACACATGCAAATATCCACGTGCCATGCCCAATACAGGTCCCTTTCCAACAAAGCAGTTTTGAGCAATGTAAGAACAACATGCCTTTTTATTAGAGACCTCCAGCAGTTTAGGCTTGTAAATCTGCACATATTTTAGATTTGTTAACTCTAAACTGCAGGCCAGTGTGATTATTTGAATATGTCCATGTCATCCTGTCATTTCATGTTAATCTTCCCTTGAACTGTAATCACAATCTTGGCAGTCAGTCCAATGGGGTGGCAGAGACTTAGGGTCAGGGCAGACAGAGAGGAAGGTTGTGGATCTGGGGCTCCCTGTCAGTCTAAGACCCCCTTAAGTAAGTTTCCTAATGCCATCAGCTGCTGTGTCCAGAGAGAAAAATCTCTCAAAGCCTGCAAAAATGACAATAATGACCTGCATTTGGGGTAGATTCTTGTCTGTGGCTACTATTATTCTGTCATCAGTACTCTACTAGTTAGGATGCACAGGAAGTGTCCCCATTTGACAGAAGACCAGAGAAGCTGCTGTGACAGAGTTGGGTCTAGAACCTTGTTTCCTGCTTTTTACTCTGCTTCTCATTCACTAGACCCCATGACCAGTGAGTGCAACCTCACCACAACCATTGATGCTGAATAGGAACCTGCAAATCCAATGGCACTGCCAGAATCAACTGAATGGCTCTGAGGTGACTTTCATTCATCCATTCATCCATCCATCCACCCATCCATCCATCCATCCACCCGTCCATCCATCCATCCATCCATCCATCCATCCATCCATCCATCCATCCATCCATCCTTCCATCCATCCATCCATTTACCCATCCATCCAGCATTCTTTCTCAGACATCCATTCATCAACCGTAGGCTTAGCTAATGCCGTTAGCTTACTGGGCCCCAATAGCTTCAAAAGTGGGCATTTGAGCCCAAAACTAAAATGGTGTGCAGTCTCATGCAGGTATAGCAGAAAACTGCTTTGTAAGCAGGCTGGGGAATAAGAGCCTTTCCAAGTGGAAGCAGATATGGGAGGGAGTTTGGCCTCTGCTTTCCAAAGATGTGCTGGGTTCCTTAGAATGCACACACTTCTGTCCTTTCACACTGAGATAGGCTGACTCCTTGTGGTGGTCTCCAAGTACCCTAGAGAAACAGAACCTGTGAACTGACGGAGTTCTTGATCTGCATCTTTGTGATATTATTGATCTTTGTGATGTTATTGCCTTGGCTCAGCCCAGATTGTTTACAAGGGTCCCCAGGTGTTATCTTGAAGGAAGGGACCACTAATATAGAGCCTAGGACACAGTAGAGGCTGAGCAAATGCCTGTGTGTACTTGCCTGAAGAAGAATCCACAAATGGGTGACTAAATGAATCAAAGAGGTGTGGACTGTGTTTTAGAAATGAACTAATTGCAAATGTCTACTCTTTTCAGAAGGCAGCCCTCAGAAATCTGGGAAATTCTCTCCTATGGATGATCACAGGTTCTGGGATGCAGAGCAAACAGGGAGCTAATGGAAGCACTCAGGATGATAGAATTCTAACTTCATGAAAACATGTTTGATTGTGGGTCCCAGTAAAGATGTCCCAGTTCTCGGCCAGAATCTTTTCTGAAGACTGAGCTGGAGGAGGTAATGATGGGGGCGGGGACTGGACAGCTGTGATGGATGTGATGCGGTAACAGCTTTGATGGGGAGGTTTGTACCTGTGTTCATTATGGAGGGGTTGGTGATGGTGGTTACATGCCAGTGTCTATGGTTAGGTTATTCTGAGGCCGTTGTGGCTGTGATGGCAGCAGGTGTGAGGATAGTCTGCTTGCTGGGTGACTTTGGGCAAGTCACTGAACCTCTCTGTGCCTTCCTAGGCCTCCCTAGGCTGGGCAGACCTGGGAGGAGCTGCAGCCCTTGGGCTGAGGTGGAGAGAGGGGAGGTGAGGAGGGCAGGGCAAGGCCAGGACGGCCACATCCCTAGCAGGTCAGGTACCTCTTGGGCTTGGAGGCTGAGCCGGGGGCTCCTCTCCTGCTGGCCGTCCAGGAACAGACATCTTCACATCCTCAGTCTTCCAAACCTGCCCCAAAAGAGCAAATGTCATCGGCGGGGAAGACGATCCTGTCTGCAAGCTTGGAGTGGCCTAGTCCATTTCCTCACGCCTAGGGGTCCCCCAGGGAAAGGATGAACACATGGCCCCCCTTTCACTTCTGATGTTAACTTATCATCAGGTAAAAGGTTATTTAGCCTTCAGCTTCCTCATGCAGAGGTTTGGCCAATCACAGTTGCACCTTGAATGAATTTACCCCACCCATGTCCCTAAGTGCATCTCATGACCCCCACAGCCCTTTTCTTGCAGGGATGTGACTCTGCAACCAGTTTATTGCCATTTTGCTCAACCAATGCCCTCTTGCCCATAATGCTACCACCTCTAGAGTACTCCCTCACCCCTGGGTGGCTGGGCACCCCCATCTTGTGTCTGGCCCTTGGCGCTAAGCCTACTGTGGGAGCCCTGAGGCCAACTCACTCAAAATGGCTTCTCATTCACTGGGTCTGGATTTTATATCACCAAAGGGCAAGGACCAGCCTCCTCTCAAATGCTTCTGTGAGCCCCACGCCAGGCTTAGCACAGCACTGGGCCAGTCCAGGAGCTCAGTGACCACATCGAATGAATGAGTGCTGAGTGCACAGAAGACCCTCACTTACGCTTTGGGGGGGCCCAGGAGAGTAATATACTCTGCAGCTCGGCCACCCCAGGCTCCTCTGGCTGGCCCACTGATGTGGGCCACACCCCACCAAGCCCAGGCCATCCCAGGATGCCCTGCTTTCTGCAGAGGCCACAGATAAAGTCCTATGAGGGGACTGCCTAGGTACCTCAGCCTGCATGGATGGATGGATGGATGGATACATGGAGGGATACATGGATGGATGGATGGATGGATGGATGGATGGATGGATGGATGAGTGGATGGGTGGATAGAGAGATGGATGGGTGGATGGATGGGTGGGTAGATGAGTAGAGAGATAAATGGGTAGGTGGGTAGATAAATTAGTGGATGGGTGGGCAAGTTTGGTTTGAATGGATGACGCAAATATCTCCTTTTAGCATTGGGATATAATCTTTTGCATTTAACCATTCAACTTTTATATGTTGTAACAGTATTTATTTTAGTGTGTGTCTGTGTGTGTGTGCATGTGTGTGTCTGTGTGTGTAATACTATATATATAATTTTATTTATTTACTTTTTCCCTGCAAAGAGCCTTGTCTTTTCCCTTCCTTTGCTGTAGGTACCCGTTCTGGAATGGTCTCAAATGCAACCTGCAGGTTTGGCCCCCTGGAGGAAGTGAGAAGAATGGAGATGAACACGTTTCTTGTGTCATGTCCTCATTCTGCCCAAGACACACCTACCCGGACCATGCCGTCTTGACTCCCGGTGATGATGATCTGGCTTGTGTCCCATGCTGGGCCCTCCATCAGGCAGCAGCAGGTTATGGCTCCTTCTGGGCCCCAGGCTGTGGTGATGCTGGCCAGGGGCTGTCCATTGACATTCCACAGGGACAAGTGTGCTCCCGCACAGGAGACAATGGTGCCCTGTGCAGTGAGAGCTGGCATCACTCTAAGCTGGAGTCACTGCCTGCCCATCAGCCACTTGCTCAGCTACCCAGTTGGTACACCCAAGTACTCTCAATCTGTCATGCTCTGAAGACCCCCAAGGTACCCCAAAACTTCTTTCCAGCTGACTTACAGGTCTGCTGTGTTTTCACACAGTTGTAAATTCTTGGTTCTTTTCATACTGCAGTCATGTGCTTAGATACTTCTTTCCTGGCAGAAGGCACCTGGCTCACCCTCAGGCTCCTCCCAGATCCCACTCCCCAACCACACCCTGACTGCCACAGAAGATCCAGCCTGAAGGGTAGCCCTGGCTTTGGACACACAGCTTACACCTGGTAGGTCAGCCCTGCCCCATAAAGAAGTTTTGGATGCCACCTGGTGGATGGCAGGGTACAGAAGTTCCAATGACTGCATGTGGCTCATAAGCTTGTGCAATGTCCCTGAAGAGGGAATTTCTAAGGAGAAATTTCCCCATTGTATCTCCTGATATGCTCACATTTGAGTCTTTCCTCCTCAAGTCCTGTTTATTCTATAGTGGCCACTGTCACCAAGGTCCTGGGGCCATCCCTTTGAGCCTTGCCCTAATCACAGAAGGGATGTAGGGTGCTCAGTGCCCCTCCACATCTCACTGGGCTGGGATCCATTAGAAGTTCCTGAATTGTTAGGGATGGTCTGTCTGAGGCCAGAGGCCATGTCTGATACCTCTCTGCCCCACAACCAGCAAGCACAGACTGAAATCAGTTGGCTGCAGGACAACTTGTCCTGGTGCCAGGCTTCTCTGGGGTCTAGGGACACAATTCCTGATGGGTTTTATATTCTCCCAGGTGAAGGCTTCAATGCCTTCTATACATCAACCCATCCATCCATTCACCCACCATCTACCAATCCATTATCCATTTCATCCATCTTTCCATCCACCTATTCATCCATTTATCTGCTCATTTATCCATCCATCCATCCATTCATTTATCTATCTACCCATCCACTCATCTATCCACCCGTCCATCCATCTATCCATTCATCCACCCATGCATCCACTCATCTACCCATCCATCCACCCATCCATTCACACTCCATCTACTCATCTAACATTGAATCCAGTTTTGAATTCAAGCCTACCTGGAGCACCACTTTCAGCAAAAATTGGAACCAGGAAGCTCCTATATCATCCCTCCTCTTTTGAGCCCTCTGCCCATTTTATTTATGCCCTGGGCCCCTTAGGTTTTCTGTGAGCAGATGCAGAAACCTCTGCATCCTCAGGGAACCCCATATCCCATGACAGGGCTTCAGTCTGGAAGAAATTTCACACCGGTAAGTCGATCTCCCTGGTCTTTGTTAGCCAGTATGGAAGGAGAGGCAGAGAAGCTTGCACTGCCATGAAGACCAAACCTGCCAAGTCAACACTGATTTGAAGGTAAAGACCTAAATGAGTCAGCCACATCCAACAAAACCCTCCCTAAAAGCCAATTTTTCAGCTGCAGCCCCCTGGTGCCCGCAGCAAAGCAGACACTTCCCACTGTCCCCAACACCAGAGGGAGGAAAGTAAAGAAGCGGACATTGAAGCTAGACCTGGGTGCTACAAGTGAGATCTACAGCGACTGTTCCACACAATTGGGGGCCCTCTCAGCATTCTGGGGTGGCTAGAGTCTCTGTGTCTCTGGGCTTTCTCCTGAGTGTTGTACCCCATGCTACTGCGAAGGTGAGGACACGGACACTGAGAAACAGGAGACTTACTGAGACGTCACTGATGGTGATGGCTGAGATGCCTTCCCGATGGGCGGGCAGGCGGGTCACGTGGGTGAGGTGGTCCAGATCCCACAGGATACAGGTGCAGTCCTGGGAGCCGCTCACCAGGAGGCTGAAGGTGACTGACGCTGCCAGGCACGTGACAGCCTGTGTGTGTCCATACAAGGCCTGGGGACAGAGACTCACAGGTTAGGAGAGGGACCCTCAATTCAGCTACTTTTGGGAATTCTTCACCCTCCCTATAAAGCTGGGTGCTGGATGAGGAAATGGAGATTCTGAGTGAGTCAGTGATTCCCAAGTCTGTTGTCTGTGCAGCTGGGGGTGTGTGCATGTGCGTGTCCATGACTAGCCTCTCCATTTCATTCATCTCCAGGGGTGGAGGCTCTGCTGGGGAGAAACCATTTTTTTACTTATAACCCAACCAGAGGCTAGCCACACCTGGATGTTTTGTGCTGCCCTACATCTATCTTGAACCCGGGAGCAGTTCATGTCATGAGTTGTTTTTTTTTTTTTTTTTTTTTTTTTTTGAGACGGAGTCTTGCTCTGTTGCCTAGGCTGGAGTGCAATGGCATGATCTCAGTTCACTGCAGCCTTTGCTTCCCAGGTACAGCAATTCTTTTGCATCAGCCTCCCAAGTAGCTGGGATTACAGGTGCCTGCCACCATGCCTGGCGAATGTTTTTTATTTTTAGTGGAGATGGGGTTTCACCAAGTTAGCCAGGCTGGTCTTGAACTCCTGACCTCAAGTGATCCACCTGCCTTGGCCTCCCAAAGTGCTGGGTTTACAGGTGTGAGCCATCACACCTGGCCAGTTCATGTTACGATTAACATACAAAGCACTGTTGGCAAACTGTGGTGCCCACACCAGCAGGCTCAGTAGCAGCAAGTAGCCTCTTAGAATGCAAATTCTTGGGTTCCACTCCAAATCTCCTGAATCAGAAACGCTGGGGATGGGGCCCTGAAGTCTGAATTTTCACAAGCCCTCAGGGGATTCTCACATGTGCCCAACTTTGAGAGCCATCTCGGTAAGGGAACCTCAGAGGCACGTGCACTCTTGAACTAAACTGGGAAGAAGAAAAGGGGAGGTCACATGGTCATCAAAAAGATGGGGCTTTTCGAGTCTGATAGGTCTGGATTCATAGCCACTGGGACACTTAGACGTCCTTGGTCTTGGTCCTCAGGTTTGGCTTGTGTGGGGCCTGGTCTGACTCATGGATGGCTGTGTGTCCAGATCTGGCTGGAGGCCTTCTTCTCTGTGGACACTTCCCCAAGGGGCCAAAGTGGCCCACCACACATGCTGGTACCCCCTGGCCAACTGCTGCAGGCAATGGTGTGGATTCCATCACCAGCACTCCAGAGGCTGCAGGTCCCAGAGGCTCTGATCTGAGGTCCTCTGCTCACATGTGCTTGCCATCACCTGGACTCAGCCGGAGGGGCACGGAGGTGGCATTCTGAAGCGTAATTGGCCTGGCTTACCAAGTGGTAAACCTCCACCCTCAGGGCAGAGACAATCACTCATTCATTTGGGTCAATGAGGCTAAGCGTCATTTTTCAAAGCTGTCACTTTGCCCGGTCATAGCAATGAAAGGTTCTGCCACAAGCTCCTGTTTGTCCTTAATGGATCCTAACATGACGCCAACCAGATGGTGCCGGCAAGTTAATGGGTATGACCCACAGAAGAAGATTTGGGTCATCCTAGGAAAATGAAAACTGCCTAAGTGAGCAGGAGAAAGCAGAGGAGTTGACAGGAACCTTCTGAATCTCTTCCCAGAATGAACTAAGTCTGATGACTCAGTTCTGACTGCAGGGGAAATAGCAATGCCAAAGAGAACAGAGAAGGGAACCCAGGTGTAAGGCTCAGGATGTAGAGAGGAGCTCTGAGCCCCAGTGCCGGCACGTGTTGTTTACCAGTGGAACCAAGTCTGCCTGCTCTTCCCAGGAAACAGCCTGTGTGCCTGGCACTGCCCACTTAGGTCAGGTTGGCTGCCTTCCGACCAGCCTGGAGACTCCAGCACCACAAGGCATCCAGCACCTACCATTTGCAAGAGCCGAAGAAATCAAGGAAGAGATAGCAGCTTCAAAGGGGGTTTTGTTTTCTCAGAATAATACTTCTCTAAAAGGCCAATTAAAATAACTCCATTATATCATTTTATACCTAACTATAGTAGCAAAAAACGATAGCAAAAAGAAAACCCCGGAAAATAATTCCCCATGCTGGTTACATTGCCATGAAACGGGTGCTCTTGATTGCTGGTGGTATGATTAAGTCACAGAACCATTTTGGAAAGCACCATGTCACTGTACATAATTCTCCTCCTCGAAGTTTATCGCAAGAAAACAATCAGAAGCAAACAGCAACCTAGATAAGATGTTTTCTGCAGCACTATGTAAAATAGTTAAAACTTGGAAACAACTTAATTGTCTAGTTTTAGAAGAAATGGTTTATTAAACTGTAGTGCACTGACATAACAAAACAATCGAAATGCAATTTTATGGAAATGGAATGATATGGAACGATTGAAATGTAAATTATAGAGAATGTAGAAAAATGGAAACAATTGGATAGGCTGAGTGAAAATAGAATAAAATATCTACACAATGATCAGAAAGATATAAATATGTATATCTGGGGATAAGAGTATGCAAAATTGAAAACTTTTATAGGGATGGTAGAGAATTGTTTGTCTTTGAAGTAATTTTAAAATGTCTCTTTAACGTTGCAGTATCTTTAAAAATAAAATACTTTTTGAACCGCCTGTGAGGCTCTTCAGTGATGACTTTCCTGTCCACAGGTCAGGAATGGACCCCTTCACTGAGCAGCCATGGGTCTGGGGAATCTGCAAGCCTACATTAGCCTTTACAGGTAAGTGATAAAGTGTTTTATTTTTAGAAAATAAGAGCATGTGGGATTCCCATATCTTTTCCTGTTGATTTGGAAGTAGGAGAGGATGATAAATTACATTTTTATGAGGTCGATACGAGGGTGTTTCTGTGCATTTTCACTGTTAAATGGGAACTCAGAGGATGATAGAAAAATCACTGCCCCAGTACCCCAAGGCCAGCCCCAGGGTCAGGTGGAACTATGTACAGTCCCCAGGGCAAGCTGTAAATGGGCAATGGGGATGCTGGGGAGAGAGCACTCCAGTCTTTCATTTCCAGTCCCTTTGCTGAGATCAGGAATCATACCCAGCCCACTGACAACAGCAGTTGGTGAAGGTCACCTGCCTGTTGCCTGTACAGCTGCCTCTCAGGGGTGCACTGCCCCTGCATATGTGTCAGCCCCTTCTCGCACTGCCCTATTCATTCCTTCACCTCACATTTGCTGAGTGCCCACGCAGCACCCTCCATGCCCTGCATGGCACCAGGAGACAAGGACACGGTCTAGGGTGACAGAAGTGGCTTGAAAATTATCCAGAGAACCCCAGAGAACATGTTTCAGTGAAACATGTTTCAGTGAAAATTATCCAGAGAACATGTTTCAGTGAAACATGTTCAGTTTAGTAAATTTGGTCAGTGGTGAATTTTTTTTTTTTTTGAGACAGAGTCTCGCTCTGTCACCCAGGCTGGAGTGTAGTGGCGCAATCTCTGCTCACTGCAAGCTCCGCCTCCCGGGTTCACGCCATTCTCCTGCCTCAGTCTCCTGAGTAGATGGGACTACAGGCACCCACCACCACGCCTGGCTAATCTGTTGTATTTTTAGTAGAGACAGAGTTTCACCGTATTAGCCAGGATGGTCTCGATCTCCTGACCTCGTGATCCGCCCACCTCAGCCTCTCAAAGTGCTGGTATTACAGGCGTGAGTGATTTTGTACAGCTTATTTTTGTTTCTATTACTTTAGGGCTCTGTGGCTAACTAAAAAATAGATGCAGAAATGAATTGGATTTTAGAGTTGAAAGTGTCCCCTAGTGATATTCTAGAGCAAGTTCCGGAGTATGCAGGGAGAGCGCATGGGGTTTTGTGTTAGACAAACCTAGATTCAAATGCAAGCTGTTCTGAGCCTCAGTTTCCTTGTCTGAAAGTGGAAATAATAGTTCCTTCTTCATAGAAAAAAATTAGTATACAGAAGGGCCTTGGTGCATTTGGAATGTTAAGCAAACGTTAAGTGCCGCTGCGATTAGCATTCTCTATGAGGGCTGGTGGTGCACATCCTCAGACTCCTGGCTCATGGCTCCTCCTCCTCCCACCTCAACCACTTCCTTTCAGAAAGTCTTTCATTTGACCTTGGATGTACCACTTAAACTTCTTTGCATCTCATTTTTCCTTCACCAATAAAGTAGGGGTGATCATGGCACCTATTTTACAGGGCTGTCAATAAGCTAAAATGAGGCAATCCGTGTAAAAATCCTTGGCATAAAGGCCAACTTGTGGCAAAATGCTCAAAAAATATTATCTGATGTAAGGAAACTGATTTCACCAGACCTGTCATGTGCATGAAGTGACTGTGTGTGGCCCGGCATCTCTCGCTAAGGTGTGGGCCTCTGTGGAGGCACCTGCCCTGTGTACCTGTCAAATGCACCATGGGAATAAAATGATACTCCTGAATGACACTGAGCTGTGGGCCACCCTCTGCACCTCACTTCGCTCATTCCTAGCTTCTGAGGGTGGCAGGGCCCTCAGTGAGCAGAGTTAGGGTGTGTTCCGGCACCACACCTGCCCAGGTGCCATGCCAGGCAGAGGTTTTGTCCCTACATGAAGTACTGTCCCCACCTGAGGACCGCACCTGCACGAGCTGGACCATACCTGCCGGAGGCGCAAGCCCCTCGGGCGGCCTTTGGTCATGCTGAGCTCCCACACACACACCACAGTGCTGGTCCCAGAGGTGACAATCGTTGTTGGGGATGGGCACACGGCGCACAGACAGCGGCCCCAGGCAGCCAGGTTCTCGAATGTCATCAGGACCTGTAGGAGATAAGGGGGATGAGCGCTGCTGTGGAGACAGCAGGGACAGGAGCCCAGGATAGAGTCACGGGGGTATGTGGGCCAGTCTGAGTGCCTTGGGAACTGGGGACATGCCATGTGTTCAGGAGCCAGTTCTTGGTGACAAAATCCAGACCATCCTGGGACCCCACGCAGGAGCTCCTCCTCCAGCAGGTGGGAAGAAACAAGTGAGGGATGCTGGGAAGACCCCATGAGCACCAGCACGGGGTGGCTTAGCTTGGGGGTCAGGAGGGAGGACATGTGGGGCTGAGTTCCATGCCTGCCTCAAGAAGTTGGTGGGGCAAGGCTAGGGAGGGGCTGGGGAGAGCTTGGGGGATAGGGAATTCATTGTAAGTGATGGGATTAGGGGAGGGGAGCTGGAGTAGGAATGGGGCCTGAGGAGGAGGGCAGGGGCCACATCAAGAAGGCAGAGGTGACTGCATGGCCTACACGGGGGCTGGGAGGACCAGTAGGGAAACAGCTTGCTCCTGCCAGCCCCCAAATGCTCAACATGTGTCCTTTGAGTTTAAATCATGATTGGAAACAGAGGAGCCCCCAGGACTTCCCTCCTACACTTAGTGCCAGTGTGGGTGGGCTCAATGTGGCCATGTGTCCAGTTAGCCTCTGCTCTGGAGGTGACAGTATACACTGCCAACTTGCAAGCCTTGGAAGGAGGGTTTGAGGCCCGGCCCAAGGAGGGCCTTTGCATGGTCACTGAGTCCTTTCCCGCCCAGGCTGGCAGCACACCTTGTAGGGAAAGTGAGCGAGGTTGCTTTGGACTCACTTATCTCTGGGCCATCTCTGCCTCCAGCTGGAGGAAGGCTGAGGTCCTGAGGCTGCCCCTGCTCCCTGCAGCCCCCTCACCTTGTCGGAGCCGTAGCTCCCCAAGCAGCAGCTGAAGTCATCAAAGCCCCAGCTGAAGGTCCTGTTCCAGAGAGGAGGCAGCAGCACTTTGTTCCTCTCTACAGCCAGAATGGTCTTCTCAGTAGAGACAATGTGGCCAATGGCCCCTTTGGGGGACTCTGAGCCTAGAGAAAAGAGGTACATATCTACACCCCAGTTAGTATGGCGAACTTATGCATGGAAGAACAGCACCCACTACAGCTGGGCCCCCAGGCAGGAGTCACAGGCAGACACACTGGACTTGAACTTAAGCATGGAAGGACAGCACCCACTGCAGCTGGGCCCTGGGCAGGAGTGACAGGCAGACACACTGGACTTGAACTTATGCACAGAAGGACAGCACCCACTGTAGCCGGGCCCCGGGGCAGGAGTCACAGGGAGGCACAATTCCCATCCTCCCTCAGCTCCACTCTGGGAGCCACCCCCAGCCCCAGCTGGAATATGGCTCACAGCACGGGATTTGGAGCTGCCCAGACCTCATTCCAAGTCTGGTTATGCTGGTGAAGTCATTCCATCTCTTCAGACCCTAGCCTCTTCCCATGGAGTAGAGAAAACCATGCCCCTTTCAATGTGTGTCCCCTGGCACAGAGCCTGGTGCAGCTTGTTGACTCAAAACACTGAGGCCAGCCTAGTTTCTAAGACTGTGCACACCATACCCACCACGTAGGGGCCTTTCCTTCCTCCTGGTGGGGGCCACTCCCTTCCTTGCCCTGTGCTGGGTGAAGTGGGAGAACCACCCTCTTCCTGACCCTACCACCCAGGAGGAAGAGAGGGAGCAGGATTCAGGAAAGGCTCCAGGATAAGACTGTGAGATGTCTCTCCCCATAGGGAAGGGACTGTGGCATCAATGGCCCTTACCTTCTGGGGCTGCTCAGATCAAAGGGAGAGAGTAAAGCCAGGCCCCTTAAAGCAAGGCCCAGTGTGTGTGCTCGGAGTGGCACCAGCATCTGCCAGGACTCCTGCCTCAGCGCTGGCTTGTTGCCTGCCTGTGTGACAGACACCACTTCATGGCACTGTCACAAGCCTGAGGGCAGGGCCATTGTCTTCCATACCTTACACATGAAGAAACTGAGCCTCAGGAAGGATCCCCAGGACCCGTGGCTGGTAAGATCTGCATCAGTCTCCTGGAGCCCACATGGGAGATTTGAGCTCCCTTGTTACTGTTGATGTGGTTTGCACCTCATGTCCCTTTCCATGAGGGCAGGGGCTGTGCCTGACTGCCCAGGGACTTCAATGCAGCAGCGGATCCCCAGTCCTGGGGCAAATGGAGGCATGGTCCCCAGAGCCAAGAGCAGTAGCACCTTATCTACCAGGGTGGGGTGTGCCAATGACACTGTTCTTGGACTTCAAGGATAAAAAAGGACACCACTAAAACCATTGAAAACTTAACTTCATACTCCTTGGGACCTGCATGTTGTTCAGTGTAGTGGGATTTCCCCAAGGCAGTGCATGTCCTCAGATGACACTGGCACCCGACTTCATACATACATGGCCCTAGGAACCCAGCCTCACCCTCTCTTCTGCTTCCATCTGGGAGATCCTCCCTCCTGGGCTGGTTGGGACCACCCCCACCCCAGTGGAACCACCCCCACCCCAGTGGACTCCTGCTTCTATAGAGCCTCTCTGAGCCTTGGTGGCAGCCAAGGAAGCCACTGAATTATGGTCAGAAGAGATGGACTAATAATCACCACTATGTGCTGGGCACCGAAGGTGGCCCATCTCATTGCGCTCTTGCTGACTGGCCTTGTTGAGGAGCCCCTGGTCCCTGGAAGAACTGTTTCTCAATAATAGGGCCAGAGTGACCCTCTTCCCTCCCTAAATCACATGGCTCCCTTCACTGGCTCAACCTATTTCTCATGTTTTTCATCTTTTCCTCACCAACTCTCTGCAGGCTCATTTATCTAAGCATCAATACAAATCTGTAGTAGCATCCATTCAATGCTATTCCAATCCCCGTGGGAACAAGGAGGTTCAATGGCTTGCCCAAGGTCACACAGTCAGGAAGCAGTAGGACTGGAATGCACTCCTGGGCCATCTGCCCCAGAGCACATGTTCTTAGCTACTGGCTGCCTGCTTAGAGTGCTTAGCTTAGTCCCCTGCCCTGCTTAGGAGGACCAGTGGCCAAAGCACAGAGGCTGTAATCCTTCCTTGTGAAACTTGGGACTCTCCACTGGTCTCTTGAGGAGAGAAGGTATGTGTGTGTACATGTGTGTGTGCATGTATAAAAGAGAGGAAGAGGAAGAGAGATGTGTGTGTGTGCCTGAAAGAGGTGTCTGTGTGTGTATGTGTGTGAGAGAGACAGACAGAAAGACAGAGAGACGTGGGTCTTCAGAAGTTAGGGTCTAACAGAGGAGCTCCTAGACACTTCCCAGAGATGACACCCCCCTAGAATCTGGCTGTGACTGGAGATGCAGCCATTCAAAGTCAGTCCCCAATACTTTGCCCAGGTATGTGGTGCTGGACCTCCAGAGGAACCCAGCCACTGAAGGGACAACCCTGGGACAGGACACCAAACAATGCATGGCCAGGGAATCACCTTTGACCGTGACCTGGGAGGGCCTCAGCGACTGCAGGCTGTAGAAAAAGGGCTGTGGGTGGCCAGGCAGGCTCACGGGGGTGGAGACATCCTTTCCAGGCAGAGGCTTCCCTGCTGCAGTCCTGGCTGGGTGAGGTTTGGTAAAGAGCTAGAGAGACAGGGAACAGACACACATGAGGGGAGAGATGCCCAGAGGAGGGGTCGTCCCTGTGCACACTGTAGCTGCACCCTGTCTCTGGGGGTTGCCACAGCTCGGCTTGTTCCTGACAGAGCTGAACATGAACAGAACCTCTGGTCCAGCCCTCAGACGCTGCAGATGAGGGGCCTGGGGCTCACAGAGGGACAGCTACTTTTTCAAGGTCATAAAGGCAGCCCTTCTGCCTGCCAAATCTCTCCTTTCCCAAGCTGCTTGGGAGAAGACTGGCCTCATTGAAGAGCCCCTGGTCCCCAGAAGAACTGTCTCTCAATCATGAGGCTGGAGTGACCCTCTTCGTTCCCTAGATAACGTGGCTCCCTTTATTGGCTCAACCTATTTCTCATAGTTTTCATCCTTCCCTCACCAACTCTCTGCAGGCTCATTAAGCATCAACACAAGTCTTTAACAGCATCCATTCAAATATTCCAAAGAACACAGGCAAATCCCATTAGTGGCCTATTTCTTATTTTTCTCCAATCTCTGCCATCAGATTGTGCCTAATGCCAAATTTTCTGCAAAACCAAGCCAAGCCCTGAGCATGAGCCATGCTGCCTGGTTGAGTCCTTGCTGCTGGACTCTATATCAGCTGTTTATAGATATAGATATAATCTTTATCTAACTGATATAGATATAATCTATATCTAACTGGTATAGATATAATCTATATCTAACTGATACAGATATAATCTATATCTAACTGATATAGATATAAGTTTCAACTCTATATCCAGCTCTCTACCTTGCAGTCTCTCCCAGACTGCAGCCCTACTGGCTGCTCTTTCCAGCCAGAAGCACATTCCTGCAAGTCATCCACCAGGCGTACGCTGGAGGGAGAAGAGGTGGAAGCTGGTCCAGGCTGTGGACATGGGCAGAGTTGGGGCTCCAGTTCGATGGGCAGCTGGGGTGGGCATGGGTGGTCTCAGAGAAACCTCAGCTCAGTTATAGTCCTGGATCAAATGGTAACTTATTTAAAAAAACTGGGTGGGCGATCAATGCAAACAGAAATCAAAATGATGAGTTTTCAATGAGTGTTTAATAATGAGCACTCTTCTTTGTTCAAGGTGACTGGGAGTAGCAGACACAGCCCCTGTCAGGAGCAGCATGGAGTCTGAGTGCTGCAATCTTGTCTTCAGACTGGGACACTTGGGGATTCTCATTCTGATGGCTACTTTAGAAATACTTGTGAAAGCACCTATGACACATTGTTGAGTAGTCAGAATCTGAAGTTATATGTACTCCATGACTACACTGACGGGAAAAGATCTGTGCTGTGGACAAGGGCTATGAGTACATGAGGCAGGACATGGCTGGATGGTAGTGGCTACTACTTTGAATTATTTTGTTGCTTTGTATTATTATATATTTTTTAAATTCAAGAAATGAAACCATTAGGCTAACAGGCTTATTTCCTGAAATTCTTTCCTTCCTACAAAGCCTCCCAGCAAACCCACACTGGATGTGCCATCCAATCTCCAAGTCACCCTCATACCTTCCTCATATTCCCTTTACCTGGGAGCTGAGCAAACCTCAGCATGTCATGTGAGACCAGAGAGAAAGATGTTAGTTTAGCACTAACTGCAGAAGGAGCCCCTCCCCACCCCGAGTCCTCATGGTTGCATGTGGGGAAGGCTGGAACAAAACACCTCCACACACAACCACAGTTCAAGGATCAACAGGGCCAGAATCAATTAAATAAGCACCTAACTTGTGCTTTCATCAGTATGTCAACAGGGGAATGCACAACCTCATATTGCTAAGTGACTATCTTGACAGGAGACAGAGCCAGCAGAGTAGAAGGCCCAGGTGAGACTTCACAATTTCACCAGAGGCCTGGCAGGTAGAAGGCAGATGCTCTCACACTGGTGACAACATGGTGCAAGCTTTAGACCTATTCAGATAGGACCAGAGCTCTACCTCTGTTGACTGCTGTTAGTGTAATTCTAGGCAAGGTATTTATTTAGCCTCTCTGAGCCTCAGTTTCCTGGTCCATAAAAGAATACTCTCTATATCCAGAGCTCACGAGAGATTTCAATGATATAATCACACTAATAGCTAACATTTGTTAAGTGCTGGTCATATTTCAGGCACTTTCAAACACTTGATATGTCTTAAGTCATTGGATACAACAAACCTGTAGGGTAGATACGAACACAAGTAATTAGTTACCACATATCTATTGTAGTGTCTAAAATCAGATCAGTCACAGACAAACACAACTTTCACTAGTTTCACTAATGATGTCATCATATGCATCAACATCAGGTGGTAACTGAGGGTTAAGCCTGATATTGAAAGCACAGGAAGATGATGGGGGACCATTTCACCTCTTCAGCCATCTCCTTCACTTTCACCCCAGGAGAGAATGTCCTCACACTGCACACACTCTTTTGAGAAAGCAAGGCAAATGACAAGGCATGCTGTACCTGTTTGGGCACCTGTCCAAAGTTGCTGACAAACCCCAGGATGGTGCTTTTGATGAGGGGGTCAGTGATGCTGCTGAGGTCCATTCTGTCACCGTAGAAGTAGGGGTGGAAGATATTAACAGCATCCACTGCGGCTGGCCCCTGCTGCTTGTACCCAAAAATAAGGTCTATCCAATGGTGGAGGTTGGCACTGACAAAGTCACTTTCCAGGGCCTGGAACAAAAACCCAAAGAGCATTAAAACCCAGGCCACTCATGGACTCATGCACTCGCTGCACAGATTGGAAGGGGCACATGCTTCAGAGTGCTGGCCCTGCACAGAGGAGATAATTGATGAGCCCCTGGGCTTGATGAGCACAAAGAGGCAGGATGAGCCAGCCACCCGAGGGCCACCCTAGTCCTGTCTGCAGCCAGCAGCAAATCAGATCTGACTGTTTTCACCACCCCAGCTCAACCATGTCATAAAACAACCATGGTGTCCACAGTATCTATGAGGTGCAGGCCTGGGAAAGACATCTAAATGGAAGAGACAAGGCTGAAAATAAAGTCTTGGGGTCTTGCTGAGATGTGACATATGAAACAAGGAGAGCTGGTTCTGACCAGAGAGTGTCAGGAGGCGGAGGCTAAGTGCAGTGATCAGGAGACCGTGCTCTCGAGCACAGTGGGTGTGGGTGCTGCCATGTACACATTCCTTAACATCACTGTTCCTTGGTTTCTTCATCTGTAAAATGAACAATTGTACCTTCTTAGCAGGTTCATGTAAGAATTAAGTTGTGTCCACGGCTGACACACAGGGAGCTCCAGGAGTTAGGTGATTTCACTAAGCACATACGATGCCAGGCACTGGCTGTTTCACAGGTGTTGTTTCCTCCCATGAACACCGCCTTTTGGTGGCAGGTATAATTAACCCACTTCTAGGGCAGGCTCATGTGTGGTTTTTGATCCTAACACTCCAGCCCCCAGTTTTCATTCCTCAGAACCTCACAGGGGGCATCCAGTCTCACTGAGCAGATCTCACTTCACTCAGTTACTGGGGAATTCTGGACATGGGTGTGGGCATCTTCTAAATCATCCCTGGCACAGAAATGATAGAACCTGCTTCTGAGGTACAGCTTAGCCCCCAGGAATGTGAACTTCCTTCACTGGGGCAGCTGTGTCTAGCTGGGGGCATGCAGCAGGCAAGGAGTTTCTCACCCACGCACTCACAGACCTGAGGAACATTCTGTCCATGCTCAGGCTCACTGACTCCAGATGGGAGGACAGGAGACATTCTCAACTCAAACATGGAGCCTGGATCCGAGTTTACAACCTTTAAGTGAGAAGTAAACCTCATCCCATTCAGGACCACAGCTCCCACCAGAAGTCAGCAACATCTGCCCCTCATAAAAGGTGTCATCCAAAGAATTTAGCATAAGAGCCAAGCATGCTGGATCTTTCATGCATAGAGCCCAGATGGGTGGCACTGGCTCAGAATGGGGGACCCAGGTTGGCAATAATTCTCATCAGGTGTCACACATGAGCAAGAGGAAGTATGGCCCAGTGTCTCGATATCACAGTCTATCTGAGAGGTGGCACCTGTTTCTACTGAATAGAACCTAGCTTCAGGGCTAGGTGCCCAGAGCCTCAAAATGTTCATTTGGGATTGTCTGGGCTCCCCTTGTTGGTCCTCTGGGAGGACAAGCTGCCCTACACACCTGGATCTGAAGAAGCCAGGTCACCTGTGCTAAGTTGGCTTTTCTGAGGTCTATGATTAAAGTGGCTTTGGAGCCAAGAAGGCCACATTTGAGTCATGTCATACGAGGGGTAATGAAAGGTATGGCTCTCCCAAGCCTACCACCTGGCTTGGGGTATACCTCATGAACTTCTGGAGATGTTTGCATGAAGCCATTTGTTGGTGGTTGCCACAGAACCACTAAAGGCATACCCAGGTGAGGGCAGATCATAGGCCAGGACAGCTGACCCTTCTGCTGGCCCTTCTTCTTACCTCTTGCTAACCAACACATATCCCATGTCCTCAAGCTCTTCCCAAACATTCCTCCACCTCTTTTCCTTAGATGAAGCCTGGCTTTCCCTAAGACCACCAGTTCTCCTTCAGCAAGTTCAAGTGGTGGCCACTTGCTGGACATAACCCATATGTCTGGGGCCAGGACGTTGGGCTGGTGTCTCCTCAGTCCTTATCGCCACCTCCAGAGTATTGGTCCTCTGTCCTCTTGTAAAAAAAAAATCACAAAAGATCTGCTTCTCTGTGCTGCATGAGATCTAGCTGTACTCACTCCTCATCTTCACTGCTGTCTTCCAACAACTTCTCTCTGTTCTCCTCATTCATCAAAGATGGTGATTCCTGGCCATATCTTCCCTTCTTCTCCAAGATCTGCCATCATCCTCAGTGACTGTGATCTCTGGCCTCTCGGTTCCTTAAGCTCCACATCTCCAAAAATTTTTGCCTTCATTCCACCTAAAGTCACCATTCCCATGGCCACACCTTAACCCATGTCAGTATCCATAACTGCCTCATCTTCTAAAGCACTCATTCAAACATCCACTTGGCAAAAGTCACATCCTCCTCACCTTTCTGGGTGTTCACATGCTTCCTAAGGCTCTTCTTCTACCTTGTCACAACCTCAGGTCCCCTTGTCCCTTTTCTTCTTTGCATTATATCAGCACCCACCTGTTTTTGGCTACATCTTTATCCAGCTTAGATGTAGTGGTCCATCATTCCAGCAACACTCTGGTCAATTGAATCATGTGTACCTCTGTCTTTTATCAGACTATGGCTGCTGCTGCCTGCAGTTACATTCATCTCTGGCCCAAGTACTCAAGACAGTGGGCTCTGAGAGGGATGACTCCTATCACTGAGTTTCCAGAGGCAAGAATAAAACAAGAAGAACTTTCTCTTTGCAGAAAAGGACAGGAAAAGGCATAGGTTTGTTGCCACTAGTCACACCTGCCTCAGGTTATTTTTACTTTTTAGGTGTAATTTACATACAATAAAACTTGCCCTTTTAAAATGCCCAGTTCAAAGTGTTTTTATAAATTCATTCAGTCATGTAACCATCACCACAGTCAAGACATAGAACGTTTCCCTCGGCTCAAAAAGTCCCCCCGTGTGTTCCTTTGTGGTCACTCTCCTACTTCAGATCTTAGGAACCACTAATTTGTTTTCTGTCCCTATAGTTTGCCTCTAAATGTCACATTTCATGCCTGTATATAAAAATCACATGATATGTAGCCCTGAGTTATGGCTTCTTTCATGTAGGATAATGCATTAAAACTCATTCATGTTGTTCTGTGTAAACTGATTCAGTAAATCTGCTCCTTTTTACTGCTGAGTAGCATTCCATTGTGTGTGTGTGGATATATCATTTGTTTATCTGTTCACCAGCTGATGGACATTTGAGTTTTGTTTTTGACTAGTTTGAATAAACCTGGTGAAGATTCATGCACAAGTTTTTGTGTGGACATGCTTTCAATTTTCTGGAGTAAATATCTACAAGGGAAAATGCTGGGTAATATGGCAAATGCACCTGCAAATTTTTAAAAAAATTACCAAGCTTTTGTACAAAGTGGTTGTACCGTTTTGCTTTTCCCACCATTGATGTCTCATGCATTCCAGTTGCTCCACATTTTCATCAACTATTGGTTTCACTGGTCTTTTAAATTTAAGCCACTCCGGTGGGTATGTCATAGCATCTCATCTCATGGTAGTTTTAATTTATTTCTCCCTGGTGACCAATGATGTTGAACGTCTTTCATGTGCTTAAACTAACCCAGAAATTTGATTCAGCATGTGTCCCTAATGACCTCTGGTCTCTACCCATGTCCAGTTTTTTGGGTAATAAGCCAATTTCTCCCCAGTTCTGGAAAATTTTTGGCCAGTGGGAGTCCCTGGGAGGCTCCAAACCCTCTCTGAACTATGCTGAGCAGTCAGGCCCAGGGAGTGGATGTTCTTGTAGGGCTGGCTGAGGACACTGACCTGCCCTCCAGGGCACTAAGCTCACTTCCTCCAGTGAAACCCTCACCAAGCTGGCACCCAGGCAGGGTCTACTGGAGCTCTTGAAACAGCCCAGAGCTCAAGCCTTTCCTTGCCAACCTAAGGTATAGACCCCATCCCTTCTCTGGGTTTTCCAGACATGAGCCTCACAGTGCTGGTCACTGGCCCTCCACTTGGACAGAAAGCCTCGGTGGAACTTGAGGGGATGTTCAGGTCCCCAGCAGGATACCAGGGGTCCTGGCCTGACTCACCTTTCTGTGCAGGCTGATGAATTTCCGAGGGTCCCCATCAGCCCAGGGAGGGAGCTGCACGTCTCCTAGCACAGTCCCGTCCTGCATGCAGCCTGCATGGGATGAGAAGCAGCAGAGATTTGGGTAACTCAAATCAGGCTAGGAACTGGGGGATGTAAAATACACATTGCCCAGGATTGCTGATTTTGTGTAGGTCTGAACGTGAGTTATGTTCTCTGCAGACCATGCTGCTTTCAATCTTCTCTGCCTGGAATGACCCCTCAGCATGGCTTCTAGGCCTTTGCCTCCTCCAGGAGGCCCTCCTTGCTTCCCAGGCAGTGCTAGTGCTTGCTTTGCAAGTCATCTGAAATGATTTCAGTGTCATCAGTGTGGTATATCTTCCTCTGCACTGTACTGTGCCTTTCTTCTGGGTGCTTTTTACACAGCATTAAACAATCAGGAGATACAGTGATAGTGGTGCAAGCTGGCAAATTCTAAGCACCTCACTCCACGCCAGGAGCTAGGCTAGGCCCTGGCCACACATCACCTCACTGAATCTTCATTCTAACTTGATAATTTATGCATTTTCTCTCCGTTTTTAAGGCGAGGACAGCAAGGTTTTTAGACAGAGATTCCCCTGACAGTAGAATGAGGAGGCTGGACTCAACCCAAGTCTCCCTCCTCCCCATTAGCTGCCCAACCTTGCACAAGCCACTTCACTTCTTTGAGATTCATTTTCCACCTGTAAAATTTAAGGTGATGACAGGAATTATCTCATAGGGCTGGCATAATGATTAAAGGAGAAAATACACATTACATGCTTAGAATGACGTCAGGCATATGATGGCTACTCCATAAATGTGAGCTACAGTCTTGCCTGACCTCCCCAGGGCCTGCAAGAAGCAGCTGGAATAAAAGCTCCCCTGCTCTCTCTTGGCTACTGAGCTGCCTGGCCTGGCCCTTCTCATCACTCATCTCAGCTCACCTGCCACCTCCTCAACAGGTCCTTCCTGAGGACCAGAGAAACTCAGGTCTTGCTGAGTCATCCTCAAACCATTTTCCTACCTATTTTCCTCATAGGACTTCTCAGCATCCAACAGTGTTTCACTTACAGTATAGAAATTGTCTATATTTTCTCTTCCATTTTTCCTATCCTCACACAGAATGTAAACATCTTCAGGACATGCCATCCCAGGAGACCCAACTAAATCCCCAGTGCCTAAAAAAAAAGGTCCCTATATACAGTAGGTGCTCAATAACCACTTGTTCTCCTGACTTTTCTGAGGACATTTGCTCTCTTGGCCTCCATTGCTGGTAGGAGCCATCATTTCTGCAGCTGAGCCCATCATGCCTCCTGCAGAAGAGTCTGGCTTCATTTCCAAGACAGAGTGGGTACTCTGGTCAGTGCTCTAACCCCGGGCTGGCCAGCCGCCTCCTCCTGGCTGCCACCCTCCCTGAGTGACTCCTGCTGTGGGACTCCTCACGCTTTGGGGGATCCATCCTTTGAATTTGTTCACTTCTCACCCCTGACGCATGTGAGGTGTCTAACGATTTGAACACCACCAAGGTCCCCAGGTTCCATAGGTCAGACTCACGGGGCCTGGCTCACTGTCTGGCCTTCTCCTCAGGGATGTGGGCTGCATGTCTAGGGCTGAAAACCCCTGCACAAGGTTTTGCAGGGACTAATCTCCTCTGCTGTACCCCCTACAGGGGCTGCATCTGGCCTGGCTCAGGTGCATGCCCTTATGTGCTGTCCGGAGGCAGAAGGAGAACACTGACGAGGGGGGGCTCTAGAGCCCGAGGTATGCATTGGTGATGGCTCATGCGTGTTCTCTGCAGAAGATGATTCCCAGCCAGGCCGGTGACCTGCCCAGGCTGTGACCACGCATCTGCTCTGCAAATTGCCCTGACTCAGCCTTGCAACTGTTTGCAGTGGAAGCTCCGAGACATACAAACAGTCCCCAGGGGAGCTACCCACCGTGGTCTCCTAGATTGTTTGTTCCACCTCTATAGCAGCAAGAAGCCCTGCTGCATCATAGGCTGGGGCCTGCAGTTCAGGAAGGAGCTGCCATAAGTGCCCGTCCAGCTGCCCTGGGATCCCACCCAGCAGTCTACCCCAGGACACCCAGCATCTCTGGGTCCTGCCCTTGGAGTCCACATGAACCCATTTGTGGGACATGGAGGAAATGGGACTGGTCGGGGCCAGGAGCTTGCCCAAGGTCTCGAGGCAGAAAGGCAGTGCCAGGCCTGGGCTACACAGAAGAGCCCCTGGTCTCAGCCACTGCCTCACTGCCAACTGAGACCTGGGACCCTCGGAGGAAAAGTCGCAGGTCGGGTGGTGGCTCAGCACTGTCCTGGCAGCCTGGGGCCAGCGCCCTTCCTCAGCAACCACCTTTCCTTCTGGGCACTGCTGCCCAGTGGAGACCTCACCCGAAGTTGAGGTCCTGGGGAGGGCCTAGCAAAGGTCCAGATGATGTTGGTCATCACCCAGGGGCTGTGGGAAAGAGCACCCTGCAACGCCACTCACCCGGCCTCACCAGGCCTCCACTTACCGAACTCTACCCCGTTGCAGTTGGTTAAGAACTCAGGCAGGTAGAAGAACTCTGGGGTCAGCTCCCTGACGTCACTCATGTTCTCTCTGGAGGCCGACTCCCACGTGCTCTTCACACTGTGGAACATTCTGTCTGCCACGTCGAAGCTTCCGCCCTGGGGGAAATGGAGCCAACATGACCAGCCGCTCTCACTGGCACCCTCCTGCTGGCCAGGCACCGTCCATTCTGCCTCAGAGGCACGGGTTCCACCATTAGCTCCTCTCATTTACTCTCCTCACACACGTGTACCCATCAGCCCAGATGTGTGTGCCGTGGTTCTCCAGCCACCGGTTCCTTCATTAGTCTCTGGAACCTTGCTCCAGAGCTTCAAGGCAGAATGCATGATCCGTGTTAATCAATCCATGTTTCCCTCCTATGGAAATCTGAGTTCATATCAGAAACAGGAAAACCACATCTGAGCACTTCCAAGACTGCAGAGGGCCAGCTCTGAATTAGGTGCTCAACAAGAGGCAGCAAGAGTGCTAGTGACTGGGACTCGGCTCCTGAGAGGCTCATGGCCAAGTTCCACAGGCAGGAAATAAAGAACCAACCATAGGACAAAGAAGTGGGTGAACCTTCTATGTGGGAGGTCAGCAAAAGTTTCCTGGAGAGGCGCCCCGGAAGTGAGTCTGGAAGCTTGCTGATGGGGAATATGGCAGTGTTCTGAGCAGAGGACAAGGCTTGGGTGAGCAGCAGAGGTGGCAGGAGAGCAAGAAGCAGAGGGAGGAGGGTGAAGGGAGGAGGGAGGAGAGCTCGCTAGGGGAGGGCCCTGGTGACATCCAACACACAGCTCATGGCATTTGGTGAGAGAGAGACGTGGGCAGGAAGGAGACTCTGGGACCAGGGGTCTTGGCTTCGATAAGAGAGAATGGGTCTGAGGGTGGAGAGATGGAGAAATTTCAGGTTCAAGGGGCAGGAGGCTGGTCCACAAAGGACATGATGTCCACAGCCTCTGCCAGGGCCAGCCCTGGTCCCAAGGCCCATGGCCACAGGTGGCCTGGTACAGCCCCAGGCCTGGCTGTCGAGGTTGGGCCATGTAAGAATTCAGGCACATTCTTTCCCCAGATTCTCTCATGTGAATTGTCAAACTCTTCAGCTGATGCTATCCTTATTCACCAGGTGGTCTTGGGGGTTTGGAGGAGGCAGAGAGGTGCCTCCCTCCAGGTCCTGGTTAGAGAAATGAAGGTGCTGGGGGTGGAGGGACTTCAGGAGACAGTTTCTGAAATTGAGCCTTGGGTCTAAGTAAGTTTTGGGATAGCCTTCTGCCTGGGATTCAATAGTTCACTTGTCCTCATCAAGGCTGGGCCTTTGTATAACAAAAACTTGTCCTCCTTCTGCCATCTTCTGCAGAGCACACATGTGGAACAAGGGGCAGGGCCACAGCAGTGCCCACTCTGTGCCCGCCACTCCCTTCCCTGCTCAGAGGGCTGAGGGTCTCCCTCTGCATTTACCCAAGGAAGCCTTGGGGGCAGCTGCAGGGGTGGGTGGAGGTAAAAAAGGGCAGGGGCCTTCTCTTGGCATGTCTGGTCCATGCTCAGATGATCTCTCCTAATCCTCACAGCAGCTGCATCAGGAAGGAATTGGTGTTTCCATTTGGCAGACCAGAAAAAGGAGGCTCCTCAAAGTACACTGATTTTTCCCAAGGCAGTGAATGGCAGAACTGGGGCAAACCCATGGATGCAACTCCACAGGGCGTGCTTTGCCCCATGCCAGATTCCTGGGGAATCCCTGGACCTGGGACAAACTGAAGCCACTATGTGTGGGCCAAGGGGGAACTCAGCTCTTTCTGAGAGGGGGGAACCTACCACACACCCAAGGTGGCCACACCTGGACATCTTGAGGGTCATGGTCTGGCTGGTCCATTTACTGAGTCAGATCAAGTGAGATCTGTGGGTCATTCCCCACACAGGGACAGGGACACTGACTCAAGCAAACACAGCACATGGGCAGCTTTAAACATGTGGCTTTTCCCCAAGGTCGCTTTGCTCTTGGTTGAAATTAGGGAATGACGTCCACCATCAAATTTAAATTGAAATGGAAATAAAATGGGGGTGGGGTGTCGAAATAAATATTCACCTAACGAGTCACTCATTGAAATGTATTAGGAGCATTGTATATTTAATCTGCAGCCCAAGCCTTGCATCTGCGGGAGATTGATGCCTACTCCTCGTCCTGTTTCCCTTTTGCAGCTTTTATGAATGCTGATGGTAGTCTCCTGAGAAACAATATGATTTGGTAATAAAAAGGTTACCTGTATTAAATAAAAATAATATATACATACGAAATATTGTTAGTGCTACAAATCTGGTTAAAGATATTACCACAAAGAAAACTGTTATTTTTTTCACAGCTGTCTAATGCATTTTAGCTAAAGTAATATCTTTAAAACTTAGGCCTGTATTATTTATAAAGGAAGCAATAACTGATTTTCCTATTTGCTATATTAATAAATGTATTTGCATACATTTGTTTCAAAATTAATGGGTCTTCTCACTTCTGCAATACAAAAGAAAACACCAAATTCCCTAGAAGAAAAAGTGGAGTTGCTTTGTTACTTGTATTGTAAGTCTGTGGGTTGATGTAAACTCTGGTGGCTGCCAGCGAGCAGTCCCAGCTAAGATTGAATTCTCCGAAAGGAAGGAAGGAGGAAAGAAAGAGAAGAGGGAAAAATGGGGCAAGAAGGTAAGAGGCAGAGAGACCCAGTCAAGGTTTACAGAGTGTCTATCTAAGGAAAGTCCAGACCCAAATGAAATAAACCAGCACAATTAAGTCTAGAACTTGGAAGGGAACAAAGTGATCAAAGAGAATTCCTGAACCAAGAGCTGCTCTGGAATCTGTTCTGCAACAAATCCTACCTGTATCCAAACAAACTGTAAAAAATAATAGCAAGGTTATTATTGCCAACAAAGGAACAATTTCTTATTGGCAGAAGGTTTTCCCATGTGACATTTAGGCCAGAAGACAATGGAGCCAGCCAAGCCTAGAGGATTCTGAGGCAAAAGGTTACAGTTGTTGGATTTTGTGCTCAGTTAAGACATCACTCACATGTAAAGATGTGGGAACATTTTGAATATTGAAGAGTTCAGAAACAATATAATCCTAGGTACCTCTTCTCAATTAAAATCCTTTAGGAGGTGCTAAATATTGCTAAGAGATGAAGCAAAATTGAGGGCAAAATAATAGGAAAAGAAGTGGCTAGCAAGGACTATTCCTGCACATTGATCCAAGTTAAAATCAGGGGACAGTCTATAATTATGGTATGATGGCTAAAGCTGGAAAACCTGAAAAGAAATGTTCTATATTAAAGGAAATACTCCTTTCATGAGAGGACACAAAGTCTATGTGCACCATTGCCTATGGATGAGCATTTCAATCACTATTAGACATTCATAAACCCCTCTCCAATGTGGCTTCAATTCTTGGCCCACATTCACAGGAAATTCAGTAACTGCACATGCTGAAGGAAACCAAGATGCACAGATATTTCTATAATATATGCTAGAAAGTCTATTCTTCCTTCCTGATAACACTGATCCAAATCAACCTGCTGCCACATCTGGATATGGAAGTGGTTTTATCAGCAGGCTGACAACCCATTCTCACTGCAGATATTCTTTCCAGTAATTTAAAAGTACCCATGCAAACAACTCACTTACAGGACCCTGTTGATATATCAGTTGATCTAACCTGCTGTCTTTAGCCAATCAAAGAGGCAGTATGCAACGGTGGAAAGCACACTGGCTTCAGAAGCAGACTGGCTTGGGCAGGAAGTTCAGTGCCCACTTAACTTGCAGGATGAACTCAAGTGAGTTTCTTAATCTCTTTAACCGCCCATGCCCTTGTCTATGAACCCTGGATGATAGCTGTTGGTGTGAAAGCAATTGTGTGTGTGTGTGTGTGTGTGTGTGTGAGAGAGAGAGAGAGAGAGAGAGAGAGAGAGACATATCTCATGCGATGAAGCAGGCACATAGAAAGAGGTGCCAAATGAACCCAGCCCCTGTGTCCTTTTCCCTTCACAGACTAGGATTAGAACTAGGGAGCAATCCTGGGCTTGGGCCCTGATCTCAGTGTGCATGGGGAAGGCAACCAGGAGCTCCAAAGGAGAAGGGGATAGAAGTTATGGAAGGTAGGAGGTGGGGTACAGGGGGAAGTGAGGAGAGGCGGGATCTTCCAGTGGCGAGGACAGAGGTAGGAGGGTGGGGAATCTGAAGGACTGTGGGATGACAACAGGAAGGAGAGCCTGAACTGTCAGGGCAGCTTTTGGTAGCAACAGCACCTCAGAAGTAACGGGGCAAATGTGTGAGGGGAAAGGAAAGCTGGACCCAGCATTCTCTGAGCCTCTGCAGGAAAAAGCCAGGCCCTGACACGCTACTGAATAAGCTAAAGGCATAGGACCCTCATGGCGTTGGGAAGCCCACGCACTGGTCCAGCTGCCTCCTTGGTCTTGCTCTCACAGAGGACGGGATGACCCCAGAGTGGCCATTAGCTTTCCTTCCTGTAGGTGGTGGCTCTTTTCTAAATGAGTGAACCCGTCAAGACTTGCTGAAACCACGCTGCCTGCATTAGGAGGAGGAGGGTGGGCACGTAGGGGACACTAAGGTCAGCCAAAATGGCTCATGTCGTATCTCCTTTAGTCCTCACCACCCTCCCAGCTAGGGGTTATTTTAAAGGATGAAGAAACTGAGGCTCCGTTGTTCAATAATGCCAATTAGAAAGTTCTAGAGCCAGGAGATTATCCCGGGACTGTCTGTCTCTATTGCACGTGCTTTTCCAATACTCCTCAAGTCTGTATGATAAAAACCAGACGGTGTTGGAGATCCTGAATGATTCTCCTCAAGTCACACTTTGGGCCCTTACAGATCCCATGCCCTTTCACTGTAATCAGAGGGAGGCTGGCAGTTTCTATGTCTAGCCCCACAGCCCTGGCTGCATTGGGTAGGCTGGCCCTATGTGAGCCTTAGGGTACCAGGAGGTGGGTTGCTTGCCTCAGAGGCAGGGGCTGAGCTGCAGGCAGCAAGTGAAGAGGCAGGCATGGTCCACCTGGGTGTGAGCACAGACACAGACGCTCCAGGTTCCTCGCCTTCCCTGGCACACGCTCCACCAAGAATCCTGGCACTGACCCCTCCAGGAGCTTCTAAGTCAACAGCCAGGATGGGCCAAGTGCTGCCCCACGGTTCTCCATTCTCTCTGCAGTTAGCATCTGTCTTGTACAAAAACCAGCCATCTCGCCTCAGGTGGTTCGGAAAACCCTTCCCCACTGCTGGTAACAGCTGACTTCACATGGGCTGTGACTTAATTAACACAGCACTTTATCTCTGTTTCTTATTAAATGCAGCAGCAGCCACCGCTGCTGTGTCTTTGGTGGGCGCCGGCTGCCTTGCTGGGCCCCACCTCGGGTGGGTCTGATCTCAGGCCTGAGAGCAACTGGTGCTTTTACTGGAGCAGAAACAGGTGCCTGGGCTGGGACCCCAGCAGGGGCCTGACCTCCTAGTGACTCAGCTTTCTGGAGACTCACAGACACTTGCTCTAGGCAGGCAAGACTCCTAAGAACTATAACATTTTCCAGCTTGGGCAACATAATAAGACCCCGTCTTTACAAAATGTGTGCTTTTTTTTGTTTCTTTGTTTTTGTTTGTTTGTTTTTGTTTGCTTGTTTGTTTAATTATCCAGGAGTGGTGGTGCACATCTATAGTCCTAGCTACTCAGGAGGCTGAAGCAGGAAAATTGCTCGAGCCCTGGAGTTCCAGGCTGCTATGAACTATGATCATGCCACTGTACTCTAGCCTGAGTGACAGAGCAAGACCATGTCTCAAAAAACAAATGAACAAAAGAACTACAGCATCTTGGGGCTGCTGCTGGGGGAGATAAGCCCTCTGCCCTGGCAGACAGACGAGTTCACACCTCCAAGAAAGTGGGGAAAACAGAGCTCAAAGCTGACCCATGCCTGGTCACACTGCCTGCATGTGCCACCTGCTCAGATCACACAGTACATATATATACCATATTTTCTGGATTGTAAAAATCTTATTGTAATAACAGGCTTGGGACAGAAAAACAAACAAACACAGCAAGGATATAAGTATGTGTCAATTATAAGACCAGCTCAAACCTAAGAACACTTAAACCTGAAGGGAATAAAACACTCCTTATACCCAGTGTTCCGAATGTACCGCACAGCAATAGGGGGTCTCTGTGCTGTCCACAGTCTCTGCACAGTGCAGGGTAAATGGGCCACAGTGCCCAGAGAACTCCATGCCTGCCTCTCTGCAACCCAGCAGACCGCACTGGGTGTGCCACACAGGCATACAGTACGTGACAGCAAAGGTGCTCCATGGCAGAGCTGTTGTGCTGCCTGTCACTCTGCACTGGGGGCACCAGGGGCCATGCTGCACACACATGCAGCCAGCACACTGCATGCCTGCTGCAGTACCGGGTGACTGCCTACATGTCACACTGCATGCCTGTGCACCTGTGTGTGATGCTGCACGAGGGACTCCCCACTATTCTACTGAAAATGTGGCCTTGAAAATGGCACATGTCCCTTTCCTCTGAGCACTGTGTCCCCTCTGGACAACCTCTGTAGATCCCACCTTGCTTTATTTACCATGAGTGTTTTAGGCTTGGTGTCCCCAGGGCTAGAACCCATCTCATCTCCCTTGTCATTTCCTGAGGGATGTGACCTCCCAGAGACTCAGTATCCTGAGATTAATCACAGCAGCCTCTCACAAGCTTGTGAGGGTCCAAGGAGGCACAGCAGTGTTCACAGCAGCACCCTTCATTGTCATCAGAGGGAGGAAGCACCCCAGCCATGGACGAATGATAAACAACATGTGGTCTACAAATACAGGGGCGCAGACTCAGCCGTAGGAAACTGACACATGCCGCAACAATGGATGAACCTTGAGGACGTTACGCTAAGTGCAAGAAGCCAGTCACAAAAGGACAAACATTGCATAATTCCACTTATAAGAGGCTTAGAGTAGTCATTCATAGAGACAGAAAGTAGAACAGTGGTTGCTGGGTGCTGTGGGGAGGGGCGATTGGAGAGTTATTGTTTCATGGTTTCAGAGTTTGGGTTTGGGAAGATGAAAAAGTTCTGGAGGCAGATGGTGGCGATGGCTGCACAACCATGTGTATGCACTTAATGACACTGAGCTGTGCCCTTAAAAATGGTTAAAAGGGTAAATTTCTTATTATGCATATTTTCCACAACAAATAAGTATAAAATAGTTTAAATAACAGCTGTAAGGTACTTAGCACCATCCAGGTGCATAGTAGGTGCTTAATGAGCAATCAGAGATTGGAGCTGTTACGGAAAGGCCTTCAGAGGTGATCCTCCTACCCACCTCCTTGATCTCACCAAGGAGACTGAACCCTAAGAAAGAAAGCGATCTGAGCAAAGTCAGACACGCAGCCCTGGGGATGCTGGGACATGAGCCCCAGGCTCACCACGTATGTCTCCACTCTGGCTTATCTGTGGTAATAGGCGGGTGGTAGCATTTGCTCAAAGCAGAATGGAGACGTGTGCTCTCCCATGCTGACTCTTACATGTCCACTGGCTCTGGCTTCCTTGCCTGGGTTCCACAGCCTCCCCACGTCTCTCACTCTTCCCCACTCCATCATCTACCCCAGGTTGGGAGTAGTGCCTTGGGCTGCTGAGACTATGGGAGGCTCCTTTCCAGCCACCACAGGAGTGAAGCAAAGGTCTCTGGAGAAGATACAGGCCTCCCCCTAGGAGGCAGGATGGGATGGAGGGAAGAGCCTGACTTCAAGAAGATGCCAGAATATTCTTAAGGAGGTCTGCCAAGGCCCCAGCACTCTCAAAGAGGAGCCTGGTGTGTCCTCCCACAGAGGTAGACTATGTAGCCTTTATACTCATCCTCTCGAGAGCTAAAATTCTTTTTTCCTAAGGAAAAAGCTGAAGGTGGCTCTTTCTTTTGCTGGTTCAAAGGCTCGGGCCAGGTGTGACCCACTAGAGGAGTCATTTAAAAGTAAGAAAGTGAGACCCAATTTAGAAGCATGTAGAGACAGCCCAGATGACTCCAACTTGGATGGGTCAATCTACCCAAGACAGATCTGAGCCCCAAAACTCAGTTACATCAGTGACTTCAACATGGGAGTCAAAAGGGCTCAAGGTAAGATGACTGCATTTGTGTCACCTAAAAGCATGGACAATTGGTTGTGACCCTCTCACATGGGTTTAGACCATCTCAAACTAATTTTACCTGGTCACCAATGGACCAGACTGGCTAAAATAAGCTTAAACCAGTGATTAGCTTCAAAGTGGCCATAGCCCAGATATCCCGTTGGTTCACAACACACCTGTTAGGTCTAGCTCATGCTAAGTTGGAATACTTTGATGCAGTCCAGACTGCCTTAAATTAGCTTAAACCAGAGGAGACCAGCCTGGACAAGTTCAGACCTGCTCAGATTAGATCTAGCTGATTGCAGAGGGAAGAAGGGAACTAACAGTGATTGATCACCTATGTAGCATCAAGCCTTGAGCTGGGGGTTCTCTGCACATTTTCTCATTTAATCTTCTCAACAGCCTATAGTCCAGAGAGATGTGCATAATTAACCCTCATTTCCAGAGGTAAAATAACTTGCAGAAGATTTTGCATCTATTAAGTGGCAGAGCTGTGATGTAAATCTCACAGCTGAGACTGTTTCTATTTCACTCTGTCTCCTCCCGATGTGAAAAGATCCTTAGCAACAGGTAGAGCTGGGGTTTTGGGTTATAATGCAGCCTCCTGAAGGGGCAACAGGAAACTCCAAAGCATTCTGAACACTTAAACACTTAAATTCCCAGGATAGAAACCAGTGGCGGAATCCATCACTATCATCGTCAACGGTGATCATCATTTCTTGTGGATTAATGAGCAACATCTGGATGGGATTCCTGGCATGGGGTGCAGCTCTGGGACCATTTGTTCTCCAAACCAAACTTACTTAAAATGCTTTTTGCCTGAGAAAGGCTCAGGGGAAGCACATTTATTATTTTTGAGTGAATTTCCAGGGAGAGGGGGTTATACAATGTCTAGACGTGTTATGCCGTCAAGGAGGGAGAAGGCTGCGCCAAGTAATGGAAGACAGGAGGACGTTTGCTCCTTATTTGGAGAAAGTGCCTTGACCTTGCCTACCCATTCCTGCCCCAGGGCTCAGAGTTGGCTTTAGTGTTGATGCAGGGTGGCCTTTGGTCTCTCAGGGTCAAGGTCCTCTGAGTGACCATAAAGAGTGACCTCACAGGTGAGGTCAGTCCCAAACTCACAGTTCTTGGGATACCCAGGCTTTTCTGAGATGAGGCTTAGGTGTCAGAACAAGTCTGTGTGTTCAGTGGCCTGTTGCCCATCCCAGCTCATGCCTTTCTCTCCGTCAGACCATTGCAGGGTCTGGATCAGGGCAGCCCATACTCCCTGTGCTATATTCTCTTTAGAGTCAGCCGAGCCAGCTGCCCTATCTGAGGGCTATCTCCCCGTTCAAAAGCTGTGCCCTGGGATAAAGGGGCTCCTTGGAAGCAGGATCCCAGTGATAGGGTTGTGAGGGGAAGAGGGGAAAGGAACTTCTCAGCACCCTCACAGCACTGCCCATGAAAGACTCTGTCCCAGAAATCCCCCATGCCTTGGACACCAACCTGGCAACACTTGGACACCAGAGTGGCCATATACAATACAGGAGGCCCAGCTAAACTTAAATTTTGTATAAACAACCAATAATTTATAGTTTATCTGGAATTCAAGTTTAACTAGGTATCATGTATTTTTATTTTAAACCTGGCGACCGTAAGCTGGTATAATGGTCTGTTAGCGTATGGGTGGGTAAGTTGGTTTTGTCCTTCGAAGCCTTTCAGTTTGTTCTTGGTACAGATTTATGCATTCCGATGTCTTGAGTCATATTCTTTTCATTGTTCCTTCTCGTATTTATTTTTCTAATCCTTGACCGCCTGCCTTTCTAGTCTCCAAGTTTCCTGCTTTTTCTTTTTCCACTAAATCTTATTTATGTTAAATCATTTTTTTCATGTCTCATTTCTTATTTTTTAGAATCATTTTGCAAGACTTTGTTGGGCAGATGTGCAGGTGTAACTGAGGAAGAACAGCCTGCCTTGGCTGGTGAGCCAGAATCCTGGAGCCAATGTCAACTGGGAATCACTGGCTAATGACTGAGTTTTTAGCAGAGGCATCCTGTCTTTGTTCAAGCACAGGTCTTAGTCTTGTGATACAGGCGTATGTGTGTGTGTGTGTGTGTGTGTGTGTGTACAGAGAGTGGCAGCAGCTCACCTGCAGAGCGCAGAAGGCCTGGGTGAAGGGTGGCATCCGGACCAGGTAGGAGGCCACGATGATGGCCGAGGAGTAGTGGGTGTAGTAGTGGCACTGGACAGTCATGTCTCCTGCAACAAAAACACATGCTTGAGGGCTGCTTCCTTACCTGCACTCACACGTGGCAGATATGTGTGCTACACTGTGTTCATGAACGGCATTAAAAACATATATTCATTGACGTTTAGGAAGTGAACAGACCTAAAGTAAAACATTCAGGCAATAAGATCACAGACGGCACGTGAATGTGGCAAAACGTCTAAAGATGGCGTGTAGATGGACAAAGTTTGGGAGCTAGAGTCACACAAATGCAGGCTCTGCCATTTAGAGGCTGTGATCTTGAGCAAGTTGCTTAAACTCTCTGAGTTTCACTTTCCTTCTCTTTGAAATGGACCACTGTAATATACAAACACAGGCTGGCCTGCCCCTGGCAGAGAGAAAGTGCTGAATAAATGTTAGTTTATTCTGCTATTGCCTGCCCCTAGGCATGGAGTCATTACCTCTTAGCATTATATTTCTCCAGCCAGGCTGCATGTTAGAATCCCCTGGGCTGTGCCACACCACGGACTTATTTAAATCCAAATTTCTAGAGGTGAGGCCTGGACATCAGTATTTTCTAGAAGCTCCCCAGGCACTTCCTACCACCAGGTTAGAGTCCTCTATTCAAATGCAATTACTTGTAGGCTAGGTGACCACCTTAATTGTTATCAACTATCATTTTAGGGCATCCCGATGAATAACACTGCACCAAAAATCAAGCTGGATCTACTCACCTTCAGTTTTCTCAACTTCTTTAAACCTCTGGATAAATTTCAGCTTCCTTTCCTTGGTCTGAGCCCCCATGGGCTTTGAAAGATCCCGGAAAATCTTCGGATTTGCCAAGTTCAATGTCTAGAAGGCAGATGTGCAGCTGGAGTTAACTCCCCAGACCCGCTTGTGCCCTAGGAGCCACGCTCTTGAGTTTTATGGTTCTCTTTATTGATTTACAGTCATTTGGTCTGACCTGCCTCTGGTGGTTAGCTGGCAGGCTGGGGTTTTATGGCCCCAGAGCCAGTGATCCACAAAGACTTAAAAAGGGAGAAATGAAAAATAAGAGGAGGGGAAGACTGAGTTCACACTCAACCTGTTCCAAGTTGACCCAAATCAGAACATGGCCTCCAGCTACTGAAAAGACACTTTTAAAAGAACTCGTGTTGTCTATGAGGCACTTGGCTCCTAAACTGCATTATGTACTCCAATAGTTCAGGGTCCTTGCTTAGAATCAAACTGATTTTACAGGAAGTTAGAAGTCATCTGTTCAGGGAGGAAATGAGAGGAACTTGCTCATTTTTCCTGGAGGTTCACTCCTTTCTGGGCAGTGAAAGCATGCTGTGAGCGCCCCTTCCCTCTCTTGGAATATACTGCAGAGAAAACAGGACCAGTTTCAGGGCCAGGTGCTCTGGGAAACTTTTTCTTTTCAGGTTCTGTATGTTAGCAGAGGAGCCAAGAATTGCTGGGGTTTGCATTTCTTTATAGGAGGAGGTACCTGTGTATCTCTCCTTCTTTTCTTTTTTCTGAGACAGAATCTCGCTCTGTTGCCCAGGCTGGTATGGAGTGGAGTGGTCCTGGCTCACTGCAGCCTCGACCTCCTGAGCTCAAGTGATCCTCCCACCTCAGCCTCCCAAGTAGCTGGGACTACAGGTGCGTGCCACCATGCCTCGCTAATTTTTGCATTTTTGATAGAGACAGGGTCTCACTATGTTGGCCAGGCTGGTCTTGAACTCCTGGGCTCAAGCAATCCTCCTGCTTCGGCCTCCCAAAGTGCCAGGATTACAGACATAAGCCACTGCGCCTGGCTCATAACCCTTTCTTTCCACTAGCAGTGAATCCTCAAAGCTCCACTGGGGGCCAAGTGTGTCACTATCTCAAATGCCTGCAAAAGCCAGGGAGAAGCAGGGGCAAGAGTGAAATGGCCCCTCTTAAGATCCCAGTGAGTGCTGGAGGGGACACACGGAGACCCACACTCAGCTTTCACAATCTTGCCAGCTCAGAAAAATTCCTAGTTGCCAGATCTCACCGTTTTCCAAAAGATATTGGAAATCCAGATTTTTTTAAAGGAGAAATCTCCTAATTTTTAAGTTGATAAATAATCAAGGTTTTAAATACCTAGTATGACCTAAACAAAAAAGGCTTGCAAACCACCACTTTGCAACATGTGAGTAGGTTTTGTGTTTGAAATGCCTCAGCCTCCGATGGACCATTAGTGCAATAAGCAGCAGCCAGTGCTAGTGAGAAACGTTTTGCTGCATTAAATGTCTTAAGAAGGGATGAGAGGTCACAAAGGACTGAGTCTCCTTCTCCCAAATCCTGAAGGTCTGCCATCCAAGCAGCCCTACGCAGGACTGGCCAGGCTCATCTGAACAAGTGGCTCAGCCACCTTGTGTGCTTTACATATGGCCCAGCACCTCTCCAGATGGCCAGAGCCCGGGTGGCCAGGACACTGCTCCATAGTTTGGTTGTCCCCATAGAAGCACAGAAATCACCCTGGTCCAGCTGTGGAGTTTTACTCCCCATCCTTTCCCTGCCTGCTGGGGCGCAGGGGTGCAGGCTAAAAGAGATGAGGGATCTGTTCTTGTCATCTCACCATCAACCTCCCCTGTCACTACACATCTCAGTCCAGATCCCAGATGAGGCCCAGACACCATCATCTCTGTCACTGAACTCAAGTTACAGCAAGAGTAGCTTGTCCTTTCTGTGTGTCTGTATCCCTGTGTCTCTCTCTCCTTTCTTTCCCAGGCCCCTCTCCTGCACACATTGATTTTAGGAACAAATTCCATGGCCCACTTCACCTGTGACTGCCTCACCCCACAAGGGCTGACCCATGGCACCATCTTGGTAGATGGCATCAGGTGCCTTCACTGTGGAGAGTAAGCCAGGAAGCCCCCTGGGGCTCATGTTAGCAACTATGTTAGTTGTGTTGATCATTCCACAGGGGGATCCAGGACAGGAACCCAGGCAGCCAAATACCAAAGGCCACAGTGGGGTTAAGAGATCTGAGGCCGGGCACAGTGGCTCATGCCTGTAATCCCAGCACTTTGGGAGGCCGAGGCGGGAGAATCATTTGAGGTCAGGAGTTCGAGACCAGCCTGGCCAACATGGTGAAACCCCCTCTCTACTAAAATACAAAAAAAATTAGCCAGGCATGGTGGTGCACTCCTGTAATCCCAGCTACTCAGGAGACTGAGGCAGGAGAATCGCTTGAACCCAGGAGGCGGAAGTTGCGGTGAGCAGAGATTGCGCCTTTGCACTCCAGCCTGGGCGATGAAGTAAGACTCCATCTCAAAAAAAAAAAAGAGATCTGAGCTTCAGCAGCCTTTAGGCCCAGGTACCCAGGTTCATGTGACGGAACCTCCTAGCAGAGGCTCTGCATGCTGACTTAGGGTCTCTGTTATCAACGTCCGAACACCTGAGGGCAGCTGTGGTTTCCACGTGAGGAACTTACCTCTGAGGTGTAGTCTGCGAGGACCCAGGGGAACACTGGGTACTGCATGTAGTCATTGCAGGTTCTCCCAGCCGCGGTGTTGAGGTACATGAGATACTCAAAATTGCTGATGTCCCTTTTCTACCAGAAGAGACAGAAAGGGGATAAACCAAATACGTTTGATGCTCCTGCAAAGCCATGGGTCCCACCCTCAGGCCTCGGCAGCAGGCCCTGGCTCTGTGGGTGAGGACAGGCAGCCAGCCCCTCGGTTACTTTGTGCACATCTCATGCATGACCCACACACAAATTTCAGTATGAACGGAGGCAAGTATATTCGGGAAGCAAAGTCAGCAAGGAAAAAAAAAAAACCCAATGCAGTTCAGCATCCAACACCAAGGATAAAACATGCTTTTGTGTTAACTGTTGGATGCAGTTCTCAGAAGTTGACTAAAATCATAGCACAAATGCTGTGGGTGAACTGACTGCTGACCTATTGATGGTTAGAAAATAAGCAGATGGGCCATGGCAGTCCCAGAGACAGAGGCCCTCACTCCCAGGCTTGATGGTCTGGCTTCCTCTGGGGCTTTGGGAACTGCCTATTCCCTGTCCCTGCCTGTTGGGGTGATGCTCACTCTTAAGGGCCCTCTGCCTCCAGATGAACAGTCACAAATGGAGACAGGGCCCGTATTGGGAATAAAATCCACCAAGGCCGCTGAATGAGTGAGCAATCCAACACAGCCGTCATCTCTGACATGTGGCCTGTATGTTCAGGGGCTCTCCTTTCCTCAACCTGCCCCTTGGGAGAGGATTTTGGACCTGAGTGACTAAGACCTACTTTCTCATTGTCCCCGAATCTCTACAACTGCCTCTTTTAGGGTCTCTTCCTTTCTTTGAGAACCCTGGGCTGAATGTCAACTTGTCCAGGCTGGGAGCCACGTGTATCTTCCAGGAACAAGAATTGACACCCATGCTCTGCCCCCTATGTGGCTGTATACATGTGTATCTTCACAGATGGGGTGTGTGTACCCACTCGGAGGCATCCATAGTGTACAGGTACATGCACATGCGCGTGCGCGCACACACACACACACGCACACACGCACATTCCCCAGCTCTGACTCCAATGTGCAAGATTTGTACTCCATCACCGACATCTGGTCAGGGAAATGTCTGAGACATTTTGGTAAATTAGAAAAATAAGATCCCAGCTGGGCACAGTGGCTCATGCCTGTAATCTCAGCCCTTTGGGTGGCTGAGGTGGGTGGATCGCCTGAGGTCAGGAGTTCAAGACCAGCCTGGCCAGCATGGTGAAACCCTGTCTCTACTAAAAATACAAAAATTCGCTTGGCCTAGTGGTAGGTGCCTGTAATCCCAGCTACTTGGGAGGCTGAGGCAGGAGAATCGCTTGAACCCAAGAGACAGAGGTTGCCGTGAGCTGAGATCATGCCACTGCACTCCAGCTTGGGCAACAAGAGTGAAACTCCATCTCAAAGAAATAATAATAATAATAAATAATAAGATCCCTTCTTGGTTGATCCACACACTTCCTCTCCATCGCTGGGGCCTGAGCCATTCTCTGGTTTGCATTCCCAGAGGGCTTCCCTCTGGAGGAGCTACTGTACCTGCCACTTCTGCAGCATGATCCTGTCAGAGCCGGGGTATCTCCTGTGGGACAGAAAACCAAGGTGGTGACTAAATATACCAAGGCAAGAATACAAACAGGGGAGAGGTGGGGCTTGCCTGGGCTTCACGGGACCAGGGTGTTCAGGAAAGCTGCAGACTTCCCAAATCCCAGAGCAACTCTCAGCGGACAGCACAGGGAGACTGTCATCCAGCTCTTCTTGCCCCACCCTGGCCTGCTGAAGGTTAGGTTCTTGCAGTCAGTGTCCCTCCGCTGTGATGCCAGAACAAGCTGCTGCCTCAAGAATTCCAGGGGACATGCAGCCTCAGGCTTGGGGGCCTCCTTCACAACCCACACAGAATTCCCCTGCCACATCTCGGCCTTCTTTATCCCTGCCCCGACCCCTTGTTTTGCTCGTGGATAAAATGCAAACAACGTGGAAGGCCATGAGATATGGCCTAAGGGTCTCCCAAGAAGGGTCCACAGTCACCAGTTTCCAGTGTATGTTCCAGAAAATGTTTTACCCATATGCCTGCCTATATGCCTACATAGTTTTTTTTGTTGTTTGTTTCTAAAAAACTTCAATCATACATGGGATCACATCGTACACCCGGTTCTCCACCCAGCCTCCCTTGTGCTGCAGCAGCCCTGGAGACCGGCTCACACTGCCCTTTCGCATTCATCTCTGCAACCACGGGGCAGGGTTGCACAGCTGGATCCTAACTGATTCACCGCCCCCATGACAGGCTTTGTTCTCACAACTGACGTTTCCAGGAGCACCTTTTGGCACATGTCTCTGGGTACTTCTGTGAGTAGCTGTGGTGCTACTGGGTTAAAAAGTATGAGTATTTACCATTTTGCTACCTATGGCCAAATGGTTCCTTTAAAAGGCCATACTAATGTACATGGCTAAAATTAAGACTTAAATATCAAACCAAAGAAGTCCCATTGTGGACTGCCCTGGTAGGAAAAAAGGGTAACAAAATGCAATACTGGGGAGAGTGTGGGGAGGAGCCCCTCTCCCTTCACCTGAAACCTCTCTTCTCTTCAGCAGAGATTACAGAGCCCAGCTCCTCAGCCTCCAAGGTGCCCCTTTGCTCCTTTTCCAGCCGTTTCTTCCCCAACTCCATAAGACTCTCCTCTACCCCCAAGACCAGGTCTTCTCAAGATGCTCCACCACACCAAGCCAAATCATATCCGTTCTCTCCATCCATCCCCTCTGCCACAGTTCTATTCAGGTACCTACAGACCCAGTCCCCACATACTCTCTGCTCCACCTGCATGGTCTGTGTCAGGACCCTGCCGGGCTCAGTCTGGACAAGGCCTGGCTGCCCGTGTGTCCCAGGGGGACAGTGCTGCTTCACATTCCCATCATAGCCCCACCGTCACATCTTCTGTCCTGGGCTCTCCATCCCTCTGCATTCAATTCTTTACTTGGCAGATTTTCCATAAGCAGAAAGCAACCCTCAGGCTGGGATTTACCTCTTCATCCCTAATAGAGAAGTCATCTATTTGGGCCATGTATCCAAGCAAGCAACACCCAACAATAAGCAGAAGCAAAACATGCTCCGATATACTGCTTTAGCTTGTAAAGGGTCAAGTGAAGATATGGTTCTCCTGCTGTGTCTGCGACTCTGCCACCCACCCAGTTCTGGAGGGTAGGCTGCTCTTAAGGCTATAGGCAAGGGCAGAGCCCAGGCTGGAGACAGTGAGGGTCATCACCTTGAAAAGGACCTGTGCTGAGCCCTCCAGAGCCATGAGCATGTGGAGTTGGCCTGCCACAGCCTGCTGCTCTTGCTACTCTGTTTTAGAAGTTGACAGGGGAGTGAGGACAGAGGAATGAAAGAAGTGGAGCTAAATGTGCCTGTTAGGATCCAGGAAATGAGATTCAGTCTCTGCTCTCCTCCCTTTCAGACAAGGTTCTAGAATTTTGCCTGTGGTCACTTGTGATGTTACTATCAGGTGGAATGGTGTACAGAAGAAAAAGGCATTTCACCATCCCCCTCCTCATTTCATTGGCTATCAGCTTCAAGGAAGTTCCATTATTTCTGGTACCATCAGAGAAAGACGCCATTACCAGCAGTTCCAGGACACCTAACCAAAGGTGAGATCTATTTTTTAAAAATATTGTTTTAAAATCATATTAATCTGAAGGTGATTACAGAACTCTTAAAATGATCTATGTGAATTTTGTTGGTAACTGGTGATTAGTTGAAAGTATTTCTTTAAAAGTTAATAAACCGCATCATCCATCATCCATCATTATCATGTAAGTTTTAGATTAAATAAGATGTTGCAAATGGCTCTTGGCTTTCTAATGTGCTCCTGAGATCCGTGGGAGGCAGCCTGAGAAAGAGCTCTGGCTGTGAAGTCAGGGACACCTGGATCTAAATTCTATCTCCACCACTTAAATGGGGGGCCCCGAGCAAGACAGCAAGCCGCTCTGATTTGCCATATCATCCTTGCAACACACTGGCCACACCTGTCACACAGGGGTGTGGGAGAGCCAGTGAGACCATGGGTCTGGAAAAGGCTAGCATTGGTGTGGGCACGGAGCTACTCAACAGGCGTGGTCCTGGCGATGTTGACATTGTTCAGGAGCAGGGGAGATTCTTTTCTACTCTTGGAGGAAGGAGAGTGCAGTGGCAGAGTGGGGCCTGCTTCTGGTCAAGACCTTCTTGGCTCTGCCAGTCCCCCTCTGAGTGACCTTAGAATTGTGCAACCTGGGAACCTGGGCACCTGCTCAGTCAGCCCAGTGGACACAATTCTGAGAAGCTCCTCAGGGTTTGCTGGGTGCCTGCATTGAGCTACAAGACAAGACTGGGGCCTGTGGGCAACTTGGGGTGGAGCAGAGAAGAACAGAAGAACTCGAATGAAGCCAGTGAGGATTGTGGCGGTTACCCGGCCTGGCCTTATTGGGCCTAGCACAGGCGGACATACAGGGGACATCACATCAACCCTTTCACTCCCTTCCCACCCAGGACAGGTGTCCACCTCTACTGGATGACTTCAAAGATGGAAAGATTATCTCTGAATCAGGACGTCGTGGGTAGTTCAAGTTCTTCCTTATTTTCAGGGGTCATTTACACCCATCCTGCTTCATTTTTAACCAAATCTCTGTCCTTTACCCCCCCAGACGAGCTTCAGAAGCTTGAGCGCTACTGCCATGTGGCCTTAGGGCCTTCCCTACCCCACACTGCACAGCATCAGTGCCCTTGAGTTGCCCCATAGTCCTGCTTTGACTCTTCTCCCTTGGGCCAGCTCCACCCAAACAGCACCTCCACCCTACCCTGAAACCAGGCCCCCAGAGCAGGTGGCAGAGAGGAAGGAGCCAGAGGCATGTTCCAAGAGCTCTTCCTCCATCGGGGGCTGGCAGAGCAGCCTGTGGCTGGGCCTCCAGATATGGTGGGTTAGACCCCAGACCAAAGGCTCTCAGCCGAGGGACTCATCTGGCTAAAGGCTGCACCCTCTCAGCCCTGGAAGGAGTCTGGGGTCTCTGCCTATCCTCTTCTTCACCTGGCACTAGGAGGCTAGGTGTAGCCCTAATATGGCAGACAACTACAGAGGGCCTGCAGGTTAACCTGGGACCCCGAGCTAATGCAGACACATCTCAAAATCCTGCTGCCTCTCCAAATTCTCCCATGTTGTGTTGCCTATTTGCAAAAACAGTTTTGAGGACATGGTAAAATGGGTTAGTGAGTGACTGAGGGATTTGTTTCTTGAGTTAAGAAGCACTAGGCATACGCAAGCCACAATGAGAAGAAAATTTGCTTATGTGGGCAAGCTGGAAACACAGGCCTGCTGATGCGTGTGGGCTATTTCTCAGGACAGGAGAAAAATAGTCCAGCTTGGCCATTGCCAGGCGAGGCTTCCTGGGTAGGGAATGTGTGAGCTGGGGAGATGCTGGGGGCAGAGTGTGGCAGGGGTAGAGTGTGGCAGGGACAGAGTTGTTCAGTGAGAAGCCAAACACACTCCCTCTCTCCCCATTTATTTCTCCTAAGAAGCACATCTTGGTCAACCTGGACTCTACTTTTTAAACCCAGGCAGGGCATTAGAAATCCATGTAGAGACAGACGTACCCTTTCAAACCAGAGACACCCTGCTGGATGAACAGCTCATTAAACCTCTCTGTTATAACTACCTATCGCTTTTCATTTCCCTAACGTGGAAAATCTGCATACAGTTCTAGACCTAATAATAACACTTAATTGTTTAACCTGTTAGAAAGTGTGAAGACTTTTTGCCTATTGTCTAATTTCCACAAAGGCCCAATGAGGTTACCATAATTTCCATTAACAGATGAAGATATGGAGGTGTGGGGCAAGGAGGTGGTGTACAGGCCAGGGAGGTGAAATTCATTGTTGGTGTCTACCCTAGGCCTGGCACAGAGCAGCCAGCATAAACACCGACACGCTGACTGTTCAGAGCACCTGCCAGGACCAGATCTTGCTCCAGGACCCTAACACTGAAGAAAACAAATGCAAACAAACAAAAATCTTCATCCAAATGTATGAAATGCCAGCTACCTGACAAACTAATCAGTGGCATATATTTGGCAGCATGATGGTAAAAAATGAGCATTAGTAAATTGACCAGATTGTTATGGTACAACTATGCCATAATATGAGGCTGTACATACGTTAAAAATCTGAAAGTTGGCTGGCACAGTGGCTCACACGTGTAATCCCAACACTCTGGGAGGCCGAGGTGGGCGGATCACCTGAGGTCAGGAGTTCGAGACCAGCCTAGCCAACATGGAAAAACCTCGTCTCTACTAAAAATACAAAAATTAGCCAGGCGTGGTGGTGGGTGCCTGTAATCCCAGCTACTCGAACCCGGGAGGTGAAGTTTGCAGTGAGCCGAGGTCGTGCCACTGCACTCCAGCCTGGGTGACAAGAGTGAGACTATGTCTCAAAAAAACAAAACCTGAAGTTTATACAATACAAAGTTACTGCCAGTTGCCAAAATTATGAGCACTTTTAATTTTCTTTTTTTTTCTTTTTTTTTTTTTTGAGACGGAGTCTCACTCTGTTGCCCAGGCTGGAGTGCAGTGGCGCGATCTCGGCTCACTGCAACCTCTGTCTCCTGGGTTCAAGCGATTCTCCTGCCTCAGCCTCCCAAGTAGCTGGCACTACAGGTGCTTGCCACAATGCCCAACTAATGTTTTTGTATTTTTAGTAGAGACGGGGTTTCACTGTGTTAGCCGGGATGGTCTCGATCTCCAGACCTTGTGATCCACCCTCTTCGGCCTCCGAAAGTGCTGGAATTACAGGCATGAGCCACCACACCTGGCCTGAGTGCTTTTAATTTTCATACGGTTTTACATACCTATATTTTAAAATGTATTTATCTTGTATATTTTCCTCTTTCAAATATTGATTTTATTTTTATGTGCTTTATGATTTTTATATTATTTAATTTCAATTTTAAATTATGTATTCACATATATTCTAATTAGAAGTATACTGGGTAGTAGAATTTGAGGTAATTTTTAATTTTCTAGTCATCTTCATTCAGAAATTTATTTAATCCATTTGCTGTCTACATTAAATTATGTATTTTATTTTTTGGACTTAAAACATGATATGGTAATGTTTATGTATTAAAAAATGTTATAGTTAGCTCTCATTTAATGATTTGTTTTGTTTTTATTTCTAAATTGAAGTCATTTTATTTTGCTTTTTTTGTACTTTCCAAAATTTTTACTACTTAAATTTAATTTTGGATTTGAAATTACTTATTTCACTTATTTGCTAGTTAATTTATTTTCTAATTTATGACTAGGTGGAAAAATTTAGAGCATTTCAATTTCTTATTTCTGCATATACATTTTCAAATTTTTTTCCAATGCTTTATCATCTGCATAATAATTTTCATACTTAATTTGTTTTCCTCATTTTCTCAATTTCTGGAAATTTAATGTAAGAAAAAAACTGAAAAAAAAAAGACCATAGATGCACAAATAGATAATTTCAGCCTTATTCATGATAATGCCAGGCTGGAAACAGCAGGAAAAGCAAAGCACAAGGCTTACTGCTGTGTGTTCATTCAGGATGCAGATTTCAGAAACTACACATCAGCATTTAATGACATACAATCAAGTAAGAGAATATGATTACAGGGCTGTATGATTTTATGAGTATTGTAGCTACTCTGATTTAACAGTGGAAAAAGGGTGCAAAGAGAAACAAAAGAGTAACAAATAATTAAATTCAAATAAATAGATGAAAGACAGCCCTCTCAAAAACCAAAGAGCAGAAAAAAAATACTTGCACAAATTCGAAGAAAGGGGAGTGATGTTTCATGAATGCTATTAAAGTGAAATGTGGGTCTCTTTTAAGAGAAATGTGTGGCTTCTTCCCTGTGTAGCCACATCCGCTTGGCCGTTGCCATAGACAGGGGCTCTGATTCGATCCTCTCCCACTGACTGCTGGGTGAACAGCAGGAAAAGCCCAACTGCAGGAATCACAGGGGGTGAGCCCTGGGGTTCCCTCCTCGTGGCAGGCAAGCCAGGCTGTCGGGAAATTAGAGTGTCTTAGAGACCCTTTCAGCCTTCCGTCCTCTCACTTTGCAGGCTGGTGTCAAGACTGTGCTAATGACCTCCAGGTCCTAAGTCTCTTGTTGCCTGGTGACAAAGTTTCACAGTTGAGGAGGAGAAGCTGGGACTAGCAGGGTAAGTTTTGCTCGGGCGGCGGCCCTGCGCTTATCGATTTACTTTAACTGTGCCAAACAACTGCTTGGATCTCTACTTTTTCTCTTTCTCCCCTCCTTTGAGTAAGCAGCTTTGGAAATGCCTGTTTTCCCAGTATGCTTTATTTACAAAGCCCAGGCAACAGCTAATGCATTATTTAGGAGAGGAGGAAGCTTGCCTGAGCCCCAGTCAGGAAGGGCAGCTAGCTAGGGCACAGTGGGCATCCTCGGGGGCCAGGGCACAGGCGAGCCTGGGAAGGCAGGTGTGCAAGTCATTGGTGCTTTGGGGATCACACGGGATCCTCTCTCCAAAGTCTGGGTCTCTGTGAGTGTTTTTGCTGCTCTACAGGCTAGGCGGAGATGTGTTTGAACTGCTTGCTTTCACCCGACCAGTCACCCCTCTAAGGAAACTAAGCTGTGACTGCTTCTTCGTTCAGGAGGGTCCAGCCCAGCAGAACAAACCTGATTACCGCTTACTGTAATGGGGTTGGGAGAGCAATCCATGTTTTAAGAAGTCTGGTGGTAAACTTTTTCTACAAGTTATCCTGAACACTAGAACCCACTAATAAGTGGTTAAGCCCTAGGCTAAGTTGGGCTTTGCAAAGGGGGATTCTTCATGGGACACACAGGAACACACTCCTCAAGACCCAACTTTTATGACAGGTATAATGGGAAAAGGCAGGCCCTCTACTTAGAGTCTTTGTGACTCCACACAAGTTTCTCAGCCTCCCTGAGCCTCAATTGCTGTATCCCCCCGGTGGAGATGAAAATCGACATGTCAGGCAGTTGTGACTCAATTGTAATGTCTGTAAAATACTTGGCCTATAGTGGGTGGTCCACAGAATCCATACAGAGGGAGGAACCTCATTTTAATGTGCTAAAAAGTAGGTAGTGTCTTTGCTTTGCAAAGGGTCGGGCACATAATAAATTCTCCATACATTTATCAACAACACGGATGCTATGTGAACCAAGTATGGAACAACACTCCCGGCCAATGAAATGGGGACTCAGAAAGGTTAAGAAACTTATGCAAAGTCACACGTCTAGGAGGACAGGGCTGTGACAGGCCTGTAAGCTGCTCTGATCACATGCCTTCTGGGTTTGAGCCTCAGCCTCCAGGGAGAGATGGGAGGCACTGAGACAGCTGCTGTCCACCCTGCAGGGCCCCTGAGCCCTGTGGTTGTCTGCAGACCGGTTTGTTAGTGCCTGGTGCTTGGTGCCTCCAGCTTCTGCTTGGGCCTCCAATGGTCTCTCACTGTTACCCAGTATCAAGGGTGATGTCAGGCCCTTTCTCCCTTCCTATCAGCGGAGAGATGAGAGAGTGAAAGCTAGATGATGTTTCCAGGCCCCTGAAACCCTAGAACACAAGGTGTGCAATTGAACCACGCCCATGTCTACTCTGTTGCCAGCCCCATCGCCAACTCTCAGCCCATTGCCAATGCAATTCACTGCCAATTTTTCAGTTTCTGAGCTCCCTACTAGTATCATATAATGGAACTCATCTCAGCCCCTAGAACTGGGTCTAATAACACATGCATGCTTCTTTTTCAGGGAGGGATGAGCTATAAGGATGGGGCTTGACCTGGACTAGGAAGAAAGTTTCCCACAGGATCTAGCTCAGCTCCTGCCAGCATCTGCAGAACATGATGAGTCAGGAGCTTCCTGGGTGGCCAAGAGAGCCACTGGCGGCCAAGAGAGCCATCTGACATTGTAAAGCCAAGCTTGTATGGAAAAGCCAGATGGCAGCTAAGTCCTTGGGAAAGGGCACCAGAGAGATGCTGGCTCCAGTCGAGGCATGCGCCTTTGACTAGGCCCTGGGTGTTTCATCTGTGAAGTGGAGTGACTAGATTAAATGAGATGATGCACATGAGGCACTTAGACTTTGTGCTGGGCAAAAGGAAGGAAAAGATATGGGAAGTGCTAGGCCCCTCTAGCAGTTCCAGCCTGCCCTTGGGTTTTCTCGTTGCCTGGTCCACATATACAATCTAGAAGAATGTTCCATCTGCTCTGCTTCCACCACAGAGCCTGGATCCACATGGTCCCTCCTCTGCCATGCCCTTCAGCACAGACTCCCCTCTTCTCCTGCCTGCAGCTGGCCTGTCTCCATCACTCTCCTTCCCTGCCTCTGCTGCCTCCCCACGGCCAGCGTTATCCTTATAGAAGGCCTTATGTTGTCCCCTACCCATGAGCACATGGCCCACCTTGCACTGCCCTTGCTCAGCTCTTCGCCCTCCCCTCCTTGACCTCCAGCTTACACCCTCTTCCTGTCAGTTCTTTCCAAAATCCTTCCATGTGGCTTCTTCTTAGCATTCTAGTTACAGCTCAGATGTCGCTTTCTCAGAAAGGACCTCCCCACCCACCTCAGTCTGAGTTAGCAACGTCCCCACCGATATGCCCTTTCTGACTTTGGCATTCTCTGTCACATCATCAGCTATTATTATTTGCAGAGCATTTACACCAACTGAAATGCTCCTTGGTTTTTTTTTTCTCTCTCTCTCCCTCTTTTTTTTTTTTATTTGCTCTCTCTTGACATGGTAGCTTCACGAGAAACACAAAGGTATAGCCTTGCTCACTGCATATCCACTGACCTGACCCATAGTACAACTCCAGTAGGAACTGTTGGACAGATGACTGAATGAGGAGACTGAACTGTAGCCAGCTCTAGAGATTAAAAGTGAGTATAGGGATAATTATATCTGTAAGTAGCTATTATTACATCTCTTTTTCTGCAATCACTAGTAATGTTAGTATTAATAATTTGTCAGTGCTTGAAAGGTTGCAAAGACTTTGTATTTGGGAATCAGCAAAGATTGTTCTCCAACTCCTCCATCTGAGATTCCTGACCAGTGGGGAGTGGCCCAGAGCAGCTGGTTTGAGGGAGGTGATGGAGACGGTGCAGTCTGGTGACTCCACCAGCATTCCCCACCAGCACCCGCCACTGGTGGTAGAAGCCAGATGACTGGCTTTGTTGAGTGCCCACTGAACACTGGTCACCTAACATTTTTATCACCTCATTCACTCTTCAAACAACCAGCAATTGACCAATCCATTTTGCAGAGCAATAAACTGGGCTCAGGCGTGTTATGAGACTAAACCTGGGTTGGCAATGAAGGGGAGTGGGGCTCACTTCTATTTGCCTCACAGCTCCCATGCTCCCTGCAGCCTACCCACCGGCCTTTTCAGGCACAGCAGGAAAGGGACAGCCGGCATGACTAACATGTGGGTGGCCATCCTATCTAGAAGCTGCCAGGGTGCTGCCCTGTCCTGACCACATCATTCTCAATTCTCCTGGCAATAGTTATGTCTGTTTGCACAAAGTCCTAAGGAAAGCTATCTCTCTTATTGGAGGCAGTGTCTAGTGCTTCAGTCATGATTTCAGATAAACCTCATGAAGATTCCAGGAGGAAAAGGAAATCTGAATTTAGGAAAAGTTTCTACAGAAGAAATTTAGGATTAGACATTGCAGCATTTTCTGAAAGACAAGGGCCTTCCATGCAAGCAATGAGCCCAAACTACCCTTTTTCTCCACTAACCTGAAGCATTCCTTCAAAAAGTAGGCCACAGTTTCCCCACAGTTCTTCACCTCTGGATGGAGGTTGCAGGGAGAAAGTTCAGCTTTTGCTTGACATATCCTCCCCATATTGCACCATAATACGGGCCACCCTCTCACAACAGGCCACGTGTTGTTTATAGCACGGCCCTCTGTGGCTGGCTGAGGGTGGGCTGGCTCTGATAGAGTACCTCTGGAGGGAAACAGGAACGGCTGCCTTGGGCTGCCTGCTCCTCCCCCACTCTCAGTGGCCACCTCTTGCATTCCACTCTGGGACAGCATAAAGAGCTCACAGATGACCTAGGACAGCACTGGCTGCCTCAGGCAACCAGACTCTCCACCTGCTGCCCAATTCCTGTGTCTGCAGTGGTGGGGACACCTCTCAGGTATCCTCTATCTGCAACTGCCAAAGGCAAATCTAGCTCCAGTGAATAACTCCCACCACCACCCTGTCCTCTAAGAGGAAAAGAAGCGGAATCGTGTGTGTGTGTGTGTGTGTGTGTGTGTGTGTGTTTGAGTGTGAGTGTGCATGCATGTGTGTTTGTACCTTTTTTTTCTGGTTAGAAATAGATTTTATATCTGTTGCAGGGAATTTAAAAACTATGTAGACATATAAGAAGGAAAGTAAAAAGAGT